>NC_000011.10:51420733-51622621 GCF_000001405.40 Homo sapiens
TTTGTAGAATCTGCGATTGGAGATTTGGACTGCTTTGAGGCCTACTGTAGTAAAGGAAATAACTTCATCTAAAAACCAAACGGAAGCATTCACAGAAAATTCTTAGTGATCATTGGATTGAACTAACAGAGCTGAACATTCCTTTAGATGGCACAGTTTCCAAACACACTTTCTGTAGAATCTGCAAGTGGATATTTGGACCTCTCTAAGGATTTCGTTGGAAAAGGGCTAAACTTCCCAGAACTACACGGAAGCATTCTGAGAAACTTCTTTGTGATGTTTGCATTCAACTCACAGAGTTGAACCTTGCTTTCATAGTTCAGCTTTCAAACACTCTTTTTGTAGAATCTGCAAGTGGATATTTGGACCACTTTGTCGCCTTCCTTCGAAACGGGTATATCTTCACATCAAACCTAGACAGAAGCATTCTCAGAATGTTTCCTGTGATGACTGCATTCAACTCACCGAGGTGAACAATCCTGCTGATGGAGCAGTTTTGAAACTCTCTTTCTTTGGATTCTGCAAGTGGATATGTGGACCTCTGTGAAGATTTCGTTGGAAACGGGTTCATCTTCACAGAAAAACTAAACAGAAGCATTCTCAGAAACTGCTTTGTGATGTTTGTGTTCCACTTCAAGAATTGAACTTTCCTCTTGACAGAGCAGCTCTGAAACCCTCTTTTTCTAGAATCTGCAAGTGGACATTTGGAGGGCTTTGAGGCCTGTGGTGGAAAAGGAAAATCTTCACATAAAAACTAGATGGAAGCATTCTCAGAAACTACTTTGTGATGATTGCATTCGACTCACCGAGTTGAACATTCCTATAGATAGAGAAGGTTGTTAACAATCTTTTTGTAGAATCTGCGATTGGAGATTTGGACTGCTTTGAGGCCTACTGTAGTAAAGGAAATAACTTCATCTAAAAACCAAACGGAAGCATTCACAGACAATTCTTAGTGATCATTGCATTGAACTAACAGAGCTGAACATTCCTTTAGATGGCGCAGTTTCCAAACACACTTTCTGTAGAATCTGCAAGTGGATATTTGGACTTCTCTGAGGATTTCGTTGGAAACGGGATAAACTTCCCAGAACTACACGGAAGCATTGTGAGAAACTTCTTTGTGATGTTTGCATTCAACTCACAGAGTTGAACCTTGCTTTCATAGTTCAGCTTTCAAACACTCTTTTTGTAGAATCTGCAAGTGGATATTTGGACCACTTTGTGGCCTTCCTTCGAAACGGGTATATCTTCACATCAAACCTAGACAGAAGCATTCTCAGAATGTTTCCTGTGATGACTGCATTCAACTCACAGAGGTGAACAATCCTGCTGATGGAGCACTTTTGAAACTCTCTTTCTTTGGATTCTGCAAGTGAATATGTGGACCTCTGTGAAGATTTCGTTGGAAACGGGTTCATCTTCACAGAAAAACTAAACAGAAGCATTCTCAGAAACTGCTTTGTGATGTTTGTGTTCCACTTCAGGAATTGAACTTTCCTCTTGACAGAGCAGCTCTGAAACCCTCTTATTCTAGAATCTGCAAGTGGACATTTGGAGGGCTTTGAGGCCTGTGGTGGAAAAGGAAAATCTTCACATAAAAACTAGATGGAAGCATTCTCAGAAACTACTTTGTGATGATTGCATTCGACTCACAGAGTTGAACATTCCTATAGATAGAGCAGGTTGTAAACAATCTTTTTGTAGAATCTGCGATTGGAGATTTGGACTGCTTTGAGGCCTACTGTAGTAAAGGAAATAACTTCATCTAAAAACCAAACGGAAGCATTCACAGACAATTCTTAGTGATCATTGGATTGAACTAACAGAGCTGAACATTCCTTTAGATGGAGCAGTTTCCAAACCCACTTTCTGTAGAATCTGCAAGTGGATATTTGGACTTCTCTGAGGATTTCGTTGGAAACGGGATAAACTTCCCAGAACTACACGGAAGCATTCTGAGAAACTTCCTTGTGATGTTTGCATTCAACTCACAGAGTTGAACCTTGCTTTCATAGTTCAGCTTTCAAACACTCTTTTTGTAGAATCTGCAAGTGGATATTTGGACCACTTTGTGGCCTTCCTTCGAAACGGGTATATCTTCACATCAAACCTAGACAGAAGCATTCTCAGAATGTTTCCTGTGATGACTGCATTCAACTCACAGAGGTGAACAATCCTGCTGATGGAGCAGTTTTGAAACTCTCTTTCTTTGGATTCTGCAAGTGGATATGTGGACCTCTGTGAAGATTTCGTTGGAAACGGGTTCATCTTCACAGAAAAACTAAACAGAAGCATTCTCAGAAACTGCTTTGTGATGTTTGTGTTCCACTTCAAGAATTGAACTTTCCTCTTGACAGAGCAGCTCTGAAACCCTCTTTTTCTAGAATCTGCAAGTGGACATTTGGAGGGCTTTGAGGCCTGTGGTGGAAAAGGAAAATCTTCCCATAAAAACTAGATGGAAGCATTCTCAGAAACTACTTTGTGATGATTGCATTCGACTCACAGAGTTGAACATTCCTATAGATAGAGCAGGTTGTAAACAATCTTTTTGTAGAATCTGCGATTGGAGATTTGGACTGCTTTGAGGCCTACTGTAGTAAAGGAAATAACTTCATCTAAAAACCAAACGGAAGCATTCACTGACAATGCTTAGTGATCATTGGATTGAACTAACAGAGCTGAACATTCCTTTAGATGGAGCAGTTTCCAAACCCACTTTCTGTAGAATATGCAAGTGGATATTTGGACCTCTCTGAGGATTTCGTTGGAAACGGGATATGCTTCCCAGAACTACACGGAAGTATTCTAAGAAACTTCTTTGTGATGGTTGCATTCAACTCACAGAGTTGAACCTTGGTTTCATAGTTCAGCTTTCAAACACTCTTTTTGTAGAATCTGCAAGTGGATATTTGGACCAATTTGTGGCCTTCCTTCGAAACGGGCATATCTTCACATCAAACCTTGACAGAAGCATTCTCAGAATGTTTCCTGTGATGACTGCATTCAACTCACAGAGGTGAACAATCCTGCTGTTGGAGCAGTTTTGAAACTCTCTTTCTTTGGATTCTGCAAGTGGATATGTGGACCTCTGTGAAGATTTCATTGGAAACGGGTTCATCTTCACAGAAAAACTAAACAGGAGCATTCTCAGAAACTGCTTTGTGATGTTTGTGTTCCACTTCAGGAATTGTACTTTCCTCTTGACAGAGCAGCTCTGAAACCCTCTTATTCTAGAATCTGCAAGTTGACATTTGGAGGGCTTTGAGGCCTGTGGTGGAAAAGGAAAATCTTCACATAAAAACTAGATGGAAGCATTCTCAGAAACTACTTTGTGATGATTGCATTCGACTCACAGAGTTGAACATTCCTATAGATAGAGCAGGTTGTAAACAATCTTTTTGTAGAATCTGCGATTGGAGATTTGGACTGCTTTGAGGCCTACTGTAGTAAAGGAAATAACTTCATCTAAAAACCAAACGGAAGCATTCACAGACAATTCTTAGTGATCATTGCATTGAACTAACAGAGCTGAACATTCCTGTAGATGGAGCATTTTCCAAACACACTTTCTGTAGAATCTGCAAGTGGATATTTGGACTTCTCTGAGGATTTCGTTGGAAACGGGATAAACTTCCCAGAACTACACGGAAGCATTCTGAGAAACTTCTTTGTGATGTTTGCATTCAACTCACAGAGTTGAACCTTGCTTTCATAGTTCAGCTTTCAAACACTCTTTTTGTAGAATCTGCAAGTGGATATTTGGACCACTTTGTGGCCTTCCTTCGAAACGGGTATATCTTCACATCAAACCTAGACAGAAGCATTCTCAGAATGTTTCCTGTGATGACTGCATTCAACTCACAGAGGTGAACAATCCTGCTGATGGAGCAGTTTTGAAACTCTCTTTCTTTGGATTCTGCAAGTGGATATGTGGACCTCTGTGAAGATTTCGTTGGAAACGGGTTCATCTTCACAGAAAAACTAAACAGAAGCATTCTCAGAAACTGCTTTGTGATGTTTGTGTTCCACTTCAGGAATTGAACTTTCCTCTTGACAGAGCAGCTCTGAAACCCTCTTATTCTAGAATCTGCAAGTGGACATTTGGAGGGCTTTGAGGCCTGTGGTGGAAAAGGAAAATCTTCACATAAAAACTAGATGGAAGCATTCTCAGAAACTACTTTGTGATGATTGCATTCGACTCACAGAGTTGAACATTCCTATAGATAGAGCAGGTTGTAAACAATCTTTTTGTAGAATCTGCGATTGGAGATTTGGACTGCTTTGAGGCCTACTGTAGTAAAGGAAATAACTTCATCTAAAAACCAAACGGAAGCATTCACAGACAATTCTTAGTGATCATTGCATTGAACTAACAGAGCTGAACATTCCTTTAGATGGAGCAGTTTCCAAACACACTTTCTGTAGAATCTGCAAGTGGATATTTGGACCTCTCTGAGGATTTCGTTGGAAACGGGATAAACTTCCCAGAACTACACGGAAGCATGCTGAGAAACTTCTTTGTGATGTTTGCATTCAACTCACAGAGTTGAACCTTGCTTTCATAGTTCAGCTTTCAAACACTCTTTTTGTAGAATCTGCAAGTGGATATTTGGACCACTTTGTGGCCTTCCTTCGAAACGGGTATATCTTCACATCAAACCTAGACAGAAGCATTCTCAGAATGTTTCCTGTGATGACTGCATTCAACTCACAGAGGTGAACAATCCTGCTGATGGAGCAGTTTTGAAACTCTCTTTCTTTGGATTCTGCAAGTGGATATGTGGACCTCTGTGAAGATTTCGTTGGAAACGGGTTCATCTTCACAGAAAAACTAAACAGAAGCATTCTCAGAAACTGCTTTGTGATGTTTGTGTTCCACTTCAAGAATTGAACTTTCCTCTTGACAGAGCAGCTCTGAAACCCTCTTTTTCTAGAATCTGCAAGTGGACATTTGGAGGGCTTTTAGGCCTGTGGTGGAAAAGGAAAATCTTCACATAAAAACTAGATGGAAGCATTCTCAGAAACTACTTTGTGATGATTGCATTCGACTCACAGAGTTGCACATTCCTATAGATAGAGCAGGTTGTAAACAATCTTTTTGTAGAATCTGCGATTGGAGATTTGGACTGCTTTGAGGCCTACTGTAGTAAAGGAAATAACTTCATCTAAAAACCAAACGGAAGCATTCACAGACAATTCTTAATGATCATTGGATTGAACTAACAGAGCTGAACATTCCATTAGATGGAGCAGTTTCCAAACACACTTTCTGTAGAATCTGCAAGTGGATATTTGGACCTCTCTGAGGATTTCGTTGGAAACGGGATAAACTTCCCAGAACTACACGGAAGCATTCTGAGAAACTTCTTTGTGATGTTTGCATTCAACTCACAGAGTTGAACCTTGCTTTCATAGTTCAGCTTTCAAACACTCTTTTTGTAGAATCTGCAAGTGGATATTTGGACCACTTTCTGGCCTTCCTTCGAAACGGGTATATCTTCACATCAAACCTAGACAGAAGCATTCTCAGAATGTTTCCTGTGATGACTGCATTCAACTCACAGAGGTGAACAATCCTGCTGATGGAGCAGTTTTGAAACTCTCTTTCTTTGGATTCTCCAAGTGGATATGTGGACCTCTGTGAAGATTTCGTAGGAAACGGGTTCATCTTCACAGAAAAACTAAACAGGAGCATTCTCAGAAACTGCTTTGTGATGTTTGTGTTCCACTTCAAGAATTGAACTTTCCTCTTGACAGAGCAGCTCTGAAACCCTCTTTTTCTAGAATCTGCAAGTGGACATTTGGAGGGCTTTGAGGCCTGTGGTGGAAAAGGAAAATCTTCACATAAAAACTAGATGGAAGCATTCTCAGAAACTACTTTGTGATGATTGCATTCGACTCACAGAGTTGAACATTCCTACAGATAGAGCAGGTTGTAAACAATCTTTTTGTAGAATCTGCGATTGGAGATTTGGACTGCTTTGAGGCCTACTGTAGTAAAGGAAATAACTTCATCTAAAAACCAAACGGAAGCATTCACAGACAATTCTTAGTGATCATTGCATTGAACTATCAGAGCTGAACATTGCTTTAGATGGAGCAGTTTCCAAACACACTTTCTGTAGAATCTGCAAGTGGATATTTGGACTTCTCTGAGGATTTCGTTGGAAACGGGATAAACTTCCCAGAACTACACGGAAGCATTCTGAGAAACTTCTTTGTGATGTTTGCATTCAACTCACAGAGTTGAACCTTGCTTTCATAGTTCAGCTTTCAAACACTCTTTTTGTAGAATCTGCAAGTGGATATTTGGACCACTTTGTGGCCTTCCTTCGAAACGGGTATATCTTCACATCAAACCTAGACAGAAGCATTCTCAGAATGTTTCCTGTGGTGACTGCATTCAACTCACAGAGGTGAACAATCCTGCTGTTGGAGCAGTTTTGAAACTCTCTTTCTTTGGATTCTGCAAGTTGATATGTGGACCTCTGTGAAGATTTCGTTGGAAACGGGTTCATCTTCACAGAAAAACTAAACAGGAGCATTCTCAGAAACTGCTTTGTGATGTTTGTGTTCCACTTCAAGAATTGAACTTTCCTCTTGACAGAGCAGCTCTGAAACCCTCTTTTTCTAGAATCTGCAAGTGGACATTTGGAGGGCTTTGAGGCCTGTGGTGGAAAAGGAAAATCTTCACATAAAAACTAGATGGAAGCATTCTCAGAAACTACTTTGTGATGATTGCATTCGACTCACAGAGTTGAACATTCCTATAGATAGAGCAGGTTGTAAACAATCTTTTTGTAGAATCTGCGATTGGAGATTTGGACTGCTTTGAGGCCTACTGTAGTAAAGGAAATAACTTCATCTAAAAACCAAACGGAAGCATTCACAGACAATTCTTAGTGATCATTGGATTGAACTAACAGAGCTGAACATTCCTTTAGATGGAGCAGTTTCCAAACCCACTTTCTGTAGAATCTGCAAGTGGATATTTGGACTTCTCTGAGGATTTCGTTGGAAACGGGATAAACTTCCCAGAACTACACGGAAGCATTGTGAGAAACTTCTTTGTGATGTTTGCATTCAACTCACAGAGTTGAACCTTGCTTTCATAGTTCAGCTTTCAAACACTCTTTTTGTAGAATCTGCAAGTGGATATTTGGACCACTTTGTGGCCTTCCTTCGAAACGGGTATATCTTCACATCAAACCTAGACAGAAGCATTCTCAGAATGTTTCCTGTGATGACTGCATTCAACTCACAGAGGTGAACAATCCTGCTGATGGAGCAGTTTTGAAACTCTCTTTCTTTGGATTCTGCAAGTGGATATGTGGACCTCTGTGAAGATTTTGTTGGAAACGGGTTCATCTTCACAGAAAAACTAAACAGGAGCATTCTCAGAAACTGCTTTGTGATGTTTGTGTTCCACTTCAAGAATTGAACTTTCCTCTTGACAGAGCAGCTCTGAAACCCTCTTTTTCTAGAATCTGCAAGTGGACATTTGGAGGGCTTTGAGGCCTGTGGTGGAAAAGGAAAATCTTCACATAAAAACTAGATGGAAGCATTCTTAGAAACTACTTTGTGATGATTGCATTCGACTCACAGAGTTGAACATTCCTATAGATAGAGCAGGTTGTAAACAATCTTTTTGTAGAATCTGCGATTGGAGATTTGGACTGCTTTGAGGCCTACTGTAGTAAAGGAAATAACTTCATCTAAAAACCAAACGGAAGCATTCACAGACAATTCTTAGTGATCATTGCATTGAACTAACAGAGCTGAACATTCCTTTAGATGGCGCAGTTTCCAAACACACTTTCTGTAGAATCTGCAAGTGGATATTTGGACCTCTCTGAGGATTTCGTTGGAAACGGGATAAACTTCCCAGAACTACACGGAAGCATTGTGAGAAACTTCTTTGTGATGTTTGCATTCAACTCAGAGAGTTGAACCTTGCTTTCATAGTTCAGCTTTCAAACCCTCTTTTTGTAGAATCTGCAAGTGGATATTTGGACCACTTTGTGGCCTTCCTTCGAAACGGCTATATCTTCACATCAAACCTAGACAGAAGCATTCTCAGAATGTTTCCTGTGATGACTGCATTCAACTCACAGAGGTGAACAATCCTGCTGATGGAGCAGTTTTGAAACTCTCTTTCTTTGGATTCTGCAAGTGGATATGTGGACCTCTGTGAAGATTTCGTTGGAAACGGGTTCATCTTCACAGAAAAACTAAACAGGAGCATTCTCAGAAACTGCTTTGTGATGTTTGTGTTCCACTTCAAGAATTGAACTTTCCTCTTGACAGAGCAGCTCTGAAACCCTCTTTTTCTAGAATCTGCAAGTGGACATTTGGAGGGCTTTGAGGCCTGTGGTGGAAAAGGAAAATCTTCACATAAAAACTAGATGGAAGCATTCTCAGAAACTACTTTGTGATGACTGCATTCGACTCACAGGAGTTGAACATTCCTATAGATAGAGCAGGTTGTAAACAATCTTTTTGTAGAGTCTGCGATTGGAGATTTGGACTGCTTTGAGGCCTACTGTAGTAAAGGAAATAACTTCATCTAAAAACCAAACGGAAGCATTCACAGACAATTCTTAGTGATCATTGGATTGAACTAACAGAGCTGAACATTCCTTTAGATGGAGCAGTTTCCAAACACACTTTCTGTAGAATCTGCAAGTGGATATTTGGACCTCTCTGAGGATTTCGTTGGAAACGGGATAAACTTCCCAGAACTACACGGAAGCATTGTGAGAAACTTCTTTGTGATGTTTGCATTCAACTCACAGAGTTGAACCTTGCTTTCATAGTTCAGCTTTCAAACACTCTTTTTGTAGAATCTGCAAGTGGATATTTGGACCACTTTGTGGCCTTCCTTCGAAACGGGTATATCTTCACATCAAACCTAGACAGAAGCATTCTCAGAATGTTTCCTGTGATGACTGCATTCAACTCACAGAGGTGAACAATCCTGCTGATGGAGCAGTTTTGAAACTCTCTTTCTTTGGATTCTGCAAGTGGATATGTGGACCTCTGTGAAGATTTCGTTGGAAACGGGTTCATCTTCACAGAAAAACTAAACAGAAGCATTCTCAGAAACTGCTTTGTGATGTTTGTGTTCCACTTCAGGAATTGAACTTTCCTCTTGACAGAGCAGCTCTGAAACCCTCTTATTCTAGAATCTGCAAGTGGACATTTGGAGGGCTTTGAGGCCTGTGGTGGAAAAGGAAAATCTTCACATAAAAACTAGATGGAAGCATTCTCAGAAACTACTTTCTGATGATTGCATTCGACTCACAGAGTTGAACATTCCTATAGGTAGAGTAGGTTGTAAACAATCTTTTTGTAGAATCTGCGATTGGAGATTTGGACTGCTTTGAGGCTTACTGTGGTAATGGAAATAACTTCATCTAAAAACCAAACGGAAGCATTCACAGACAATTCTTAGTGATCATTGGATTGAACTAACAGAGCTGAACATTCCTTTAGATGGAGCAGTTTCCAAACCCACTTTCTGTAGAATCTGCAAGTGGATATTTGGACTTCTCTGAGGATTTCGTTGGAAACGGGATAAACTTCCCAGAACTACACGGAAGCATTGTGAGAAACTTCTTTGTGGTGTTTGCATTCAACTCACAGAGTTGAACCTTGCTTTCATAGTTCAGCTTTCAAACACTCATTTTGTGGAATCTGCAAGTGGATATTTGGACCACTTTGTGGCCTTCCTTCGAAACGGGTATATCTTCACATCAAACCTAGACAGAAGCATTCTGAGAATGTTTCCTGTGATGACTGCATTCAACTCACAGAGGTGAACAATCCTGCTGATGGAGCAGTTTTGAAACTCTCTTTCTTTGGATTCTGCAAGTGGATATGTGGACCTCTGTGAAGATTTCGTTGGAAACGGGTTCATCTTCACAGAAAAACTAAACAGGAGCATTCTCAGACACTGCTTTGTGATGTTTGTGTTCCACTTAAAGAATTGAACTTTCCTCTTGACAGAGCAGCTCTGAAACCCTCTTTTTCTAGAATCTGCAAGTGGACATTTGGAGGGCTTTGAGGCCTGTGGTGGAAAAGGAAAATCTTCACATAAAAACTTTATGGAAGCATTCTCAGAAACTTCTTTGTGATGATTGCATTCGACTCACAGAATTGAACATTCCTATAGATAGAGCAGGTTGTAAACAATCTTTTTGTAGAATCTGCGATTGGAGATTTGGACTGCTTTGAGGCCTACTGTAGTAAAGGAAATTACTTCATCTAAAAACCAAACGGAAGCATTCACAGACAATTCTTAGTGATCATTGGATTGAAGTAACAGAGCTGAACACTCCTTTAGATGGAGCAGTTTCCAAACACACTTTCTGTAGAATCTGCAAGTGGATATTTGGACTTCTCTGAGGATTTCGATGGAAACGGGATAAAATTCCCAGAACTACACGGAAAGCATGCTGAGAAACTTCTTTGTGATGTTTGCATTCAACTCACAGAGTTGAAACTTGCTTTCATAGTTCAGCTTTCAAACACTCTTTTTGTAGAATCTGCAAGTGGATATTTGGAGCACTTTGTGGCCTTCCTTCGAAACGGGTATATCTTCACATCAAACCTAGACAGAAGCATTCTCAGAATGTTTCCTGTGATGACTGCATTCAACTCACAGAGGTGAACAATCCTGTTGATGGAGCACTTTTGAAACTCTCTTTCTTTGGATTCTGCAAGTTGATATGTGGACCTCTGTGAAGATTTCGTTGGAAACGGGTTCATCTTCACAGAAAAACTAAACAGAAGCATTCTCAGAAACTACTTTGTGATGTTTGCGTTCCACTTCAAGAATTGAACTTTCCTCTTGACAGAGCAGCTCTGAAACCCTCTTTTTCTAGAATCTGCAAGTGGACATTTGGAGGGCTTTGAGGCCTGTGGTGGAAAAGGAAAATCTTCACATAAAAACTAGATGGAAGCATTCTCAGAAACTACATTGTGATGATTGCATTCGACTCACAGAGATGAACATTCCTATAGATAGAGCAGGTTGTAAACAATCTTTTTGTAGAATCTGCGATTGGAGATTTGGACTGCTTTGAGGTCTACTGTAGTAAAGGAAATAACTTCATCTAAAAACCAAACGGAAGCATTCACAGACAATTCTTAGTGATCATTGGATTGAACTAACAGAGCTGAACATTCCTTTAGATGGAGCAGTTTCCAAACACACTTTCTGTAGAATCTGCAAGTGGATATTTGGACCTCTCTGAGGATTTCGTTGGAAACGGGATAAACTTCCCAGAACTACACGGAAGCATTCTGAGAAACTTCTTTGTGATGTTTGCATTCAACTCACAGGGTTGAACCTTGCTTTCATAGTTCAGCTTTCAAACACTCTTTTTGTAGAATCTTCAAGTGGATATTTAGACCACTTTGTGGCCTTCCTTCGAAACGGGTATATCTTCACATCAAACCTAGACAGAAGCATTCTCAGAATGTTTCCTGTGATGACTGCATTCAACTCACAGAGGTGAACAATCCTGCTGATGGAGCAGTTTTGAAACTCTCTTTCTTTGGATTCTGCAAGTGGATATGTGGACCTCTGTGAAGATTTCGTTGGAAACGGGTTCATCTTCACAGAAAAACTAAACAGGAGCATTCTCAGAAACTGCTTTGTGATGTTTGTGTTCCACTTCAAGAATTGAACTTTCCTCTTGACAGAGCAGCTCTGAAACCCTCTTTTTCTAGAATCTGCAAGTGGACATTTGGAGGGCTTTGAGGCCTGTGGTGGAAAAGGAAAATCTTCACATAAAAACTAGATGGAAGCATTCTCAGAAACTACTTTGTGATGATTGCATTCGACTCACAGAGTTGAACATTCCTATAGATAGAGCAGGTTGTAAACAATCTTTTTGTAGAATCTGCGATTGGAGATTTGGACTGCTTTGAGGCCTACTGTAGTAAAGGAAATAACTTCATCTAAAAACCAAACGGAAGCATTCACAGACAATTCTTAGTGATCATTGGATTGAACTAACAGAGCTGAACATTCCTTTAGATGGAGCAGTTTCCAAACCCACTTTCTGTAGAATCTGCAAGTGGATATTTGGACTTCTCTGAGGATTTCGTTGGAAACGGGATAAACTTCCCAGAACTACACGGAAGCATTGTGAGAAACTTCTTTGTGATGTTTGCATTCAACTCACAGAGTTGAACCTTGCTTTCATAGTTCAGCTTTCAAACACTCCTTTTGTAGAATCTGCAAGTGGATATTTGGACCACTTTGTGGCCTTCCTTCGAAACGGGTATATCTTCACATCAAACCTAGACAGAAGCATTCTCAGAATGTTTCCTGTGATGACTGCATTCAACTCACAGAGGTGAACAATCCTGCTGATGGAGCAGTTTTGAAACTCTCTTTCTTTGGATTCTGCAAGTGGATATTTGGACCTCTGTGAAGATTTCGTTGGAAACGGGTTCATCTTCACAGAAAAACTAAACAGGAGCATTCTCAGAAACTGCTTTGTGATGTTTGTGTTCCACTTCAAGAATTGAACTTTCCTCTTGACAGAGCAGCTCTGAAACCCTCTTTTTCTAGAATCTGCAAGTGGACATTTGGAGGGCTTTGAGGCCTGTGGTGGAAAAGGAAAATCTTCACATAAAAACTAGATGGAAGCATTCTCAGAAACTACTTTGTGATGATTGCATTCGACTCACAGAGTTGAACATTCCTATAGATAGAGCAGGTTGTAAACAATCTTTTTGTAGAATCTGCGATTGGAGATTTGGACTGCTTTGAGGCCTACTGTAGTAAAGGAAATAACTTCATCTAAAAACCAAACGGAAGCATTCACAGACAATTCTTAGTGATCATTGCATTGAACTAACAGAGCTGAACATTCCTTTAGATGGCGCAGTTTCCAAACACACTTTCTGTAGAATCTGCAAGTGGATATTTGGACCTCTCTGAGGATTTCGTTGGAAACGGGATAAACTTCCCAGAACTACACGGAAGCATTGTGAGAAACTTCTTTGTGATGTTTGCATTCAACTCACAGAGTTGAACCTTGCTTTCATAGTTCAGCTTTCAAACACTCTTTTTGTAGAATCTGCAAGTGGATATTTGGACCACTTTGTGGCCTTCCTTCGAAACGGGTATATCTTCACATCAAACCTAGACAGAAGCATTCTCAGAATGTTTCCTGTGATGACTGCATTCAACTCACAGAGGTGAACAATCCTGTTGATGGAGCAGTTTTGAAACTCTCTTTCTTTGGATTCTGCAAGTTGATATGTGGACCTCTGTGAAGATTTCGTTGGAAACGGGTTCATCTTCACAGAAAAACTAAACAGAAGTATTCTCAGAAACTGCTTTGTGATGTTTGTGTTCCACTTCAAGAATTGAACTTTCCTCTTGACAGAGCAGCTCTGAAACCCTCTTTTTCTAGAATCTGCAAGTGGACATTTGGAGGGCTTTGAAGCCTGTGGTGGAAAAGGAAAATCTTCACATAAAAACTAGATGGAAGCATTCTCAGAAACTACTTTGTGATGATTGCATTCGACTCACAGAGTTGAACATTCCTATAGATAGAGCAGGTTGTAAACAATCTTTTTGTAGAATCTGCGATTGGAGATTTGGACTGCTTTGAGGCCTACTGTAGTAAAGGAAATAACTTCATCTAAAAACCAAACGGAAGCATTCACAGACAATTCTTAGTGATCATTGCATTGAACTAACAGAGCTGAACATTCCTTTAGATGGCGCAGTTTCCAAACACACTTTCTGTAGAATCTGCAAGTGGATATTTGGACCTCTCTGAGGATTTCGTTGGAAACGGGATAAACTTCCCAGAACTACACGGAAGCATTGTGAGAAACTTCTTTGTGATGTTTGCATTCAACTCACAGAGTTGAACCTTGCTTTCATAGTTCAGCTTTCAAACACTCTTTTTGTAGAATCTGCAAGTGGATATTTGGACCACTTTGTGGCCTTCCTTTGAAAAGGGTATATCTTCACATCAAACCTAGACAGAAGCATTCTCAGAATGTTTCCTGTGATGACTGCATTCAACTCACAGAGGTGAACAATCCTGCTGATGGAGCAGTTTTGAAACTCTCTTTCTTTGGATTCTGCAAGTGGATATGTGGACCTCTGTGAAGATTTCGTTGGAAACGGGTTCATCTTCACAGAAAAACTAAACAGAAGCATTCTCGGAAACTGCTTTGTGATGTTTGTGTTCCACTTCAGGAATTGAACTTTCCTCTTGACAGAGCAGCTCTGAAACCCTCTTATTCTAGAATCTGCAAGTGGACATTTGGAGGGCTTTGAGGCCTGTGGTGGAAAAGGAAACTCTTCACATAAAAACTAGATGGAAGCATTCTCAGAAACTACTTTGTGATGATTGCATTCGACTCACAGAGTTGAACATTCCTATAGATAGAGCAGGTTGTAAACAATCTTTTTGTAGAATCTGCGATTGGAGATTTGGACTGCTTTGAGGCCTACTGTAGTAAAGGAAATAACTTCATCTAAAAACCAAACGGAAGCATTCACAGACAATTCTTAGTGATCATTGGATTGAACTAACAGAGCTGAACATTCCTTTAGATGGAGCAGTTTCCAAACACACTTTCTGTAGAATCTGCAAGTGGATATTTGGACTTCTCTGAGGATTTCGTTGGAAACGGGATAAACTTCCCAGAACTACACGGAAGCATTCTGAGAAACTTCTTTGTGATGTTTGCATTCAACTCACAGAGTTGAACCTTGCTTTCATAGTTCAGCTTTCAAACACTCTTTTTGTAGAATCTGCAAGTGGATATTTGGACCACTTTGTGGCCTTCCTTCGAAACGGGTATATCTTCACATCAAACCTAGACAGAAGCATTCTCGGAATGTTTCCTGTGATGACTGCATTCAACTCACAGTAGGTGAACAATCCTGCTGATGGAGCAGTTTTGAAACTCTCTTTCTTTGGATTCTGCAGGTGGATATGTGGACCTCTGTGAAGATTTCGTTGGAAACAGGTTCATCTTCACAGAAAAACTAAACAGGAGCATTCTCAGAAACTGCTTTGTGATGTTTGTGTTCCACTTCAAGAATTGAACTTTCCTCTTGACAGAGCAGCTCTGAAACCCTCTTTTTCTAGAATCTGCAAGTGGACATTTGGAGGGCTTTGAGGCCTGTGGTGGAAAAGGAAAATCTTCACATAAAAACTAGATGGAAGCATTCTCAGAAACTACTTTGTGATGATTGCATTCGACTCACAGAGTTGAACATTCCTATAGATAGAGCAGGTTGTAAACAATCTTTTTGTAGAATCTGCGATTGGAGATTTGGACTGCTTTGAGGCCTACTGTAGTAAAGGAAATAACTTCATCTAAAAACCAAACGGAAGCATTCACAGACAATTCTTAGTGATCATTGCATTGAACTAACAGAGCTGAACATTCCTTTAGATGGCGCAGTTTCCAAACACACTTTCTGTAGAATCTGCAAGTGGATATTTGGACCTCTCTGAGGATTTCGTTGGAAACGGGATAAATTTCCCAGAACTACACGGAAGCATTGTGAGAAACTTCTTTGTGATGTTTGCATTCAACTCACAGAGTTGAACCTTGCTTTCATAGTTCAGCTTTCAAACACTCTTTTTGTAGAATCTGCAAGTGGATATTTGGACCACTTTGTGGCCTTCCTTCGAAACGGGTATATCTTCACATCAAACCTAGACAGAAGCATTCTCAGAATGTTTCCTGTGATGACTGCATTCAACTCACAGAGGTGAACAATCCTGCTGATGGAGCAGTTTTGAAACTCTCTTTCTTTGGATTCTGCAAGTGGATATGTGGACCTCTGTGAAGATTTCGTTGGAAACGGGTTCATCTTCACAGAAAAACTAAACAGAAGCATTCTCAGAAACTGCTTTGTGATGTTTGTGTTCCACTTCAGGAATTGAACTTTCCTCTTGACAGAGCAGCTCTGAAACCCTCTTATTCTAGAATCTGCAAGTGGACATTTGGAGGGCTTTGAGGCCTGTGGTGGAAAAGGAAAATCTTCACATAAAAACTAGATGGAAGCATTCTCAGAAACTACTTTGTGATGATTGCATTCGACTCACAGAGTTGAACATTCCTATAGATAGAGCAGGTTGTAAACAATCTTTTTGTAGAATCTGCGATTGGAGATTTGGACTGCTTTGAGGCCTACTGTAGTAAAGGAAATAACTTCATCTAAAAACCAAACGGAAGCATTCACAGACAATTCTTAGTGATCATTGGATTGAACTAACAGAGCTGAACATTCCTTTAGATGGAGCAGTTTCCAAACACACTTTCTGTAGAATCTGCAAGTGGATATTTGGACTTCTCTGAGGATTTCGTTGGAAACGGGATAAACTTCCCAGAACTACACGGAAGCATTCTGAGAAACTTCTTTGTGATGTTTGCATTCAACTCACAGAGTTGAACCTTGCTTTCATAGTTCAGCTTTCAAACACTCTTTTTGTAGAATCTGCAAGTGGATATTTGGACCACTTTGTGGCCTTCCTTCGAAACGGGTATATCTTCACATCAAACCTAGACAGAAGCATTCTCAGAATGTTTCCTGTGATGACTGCATTCAACTCACAGAGGTGAACAATCCTGCTGATGGAGCAGTTTTGAAACTCTCTTTCTTTGGATTCTGCAAGTGGATATGTGGACCTCTGTGAAGATTTCGTTGGAAACGGGTTCATCTTCACAGAAAAACTAAACAGAAGCATTCTCAGAAACTGCTTTGTGATGTTTGTGTTCCACTTCAGGAATTGAACTTTCCTCTTGACAGAGCAGCTCTGAAACCCTCTTATTCTAGAATCTGCAAGTGGACATTTGGAGGGCTTTGAGGCCTGTGGTGGAAAAGGAAAATCTTCACATAAAAACTAGATGGAAGCATTCTCAGAAACTACTTTGTGATGATTGCATTCGACTCACAGAGTTGAACATTCCTATAGATAGAGCAGGTTGTAAACAATCTTTTTGTAGAATCTGCGATTGGAGATTTGGACTGCTTTGAGGCCTACTGTAGTAAAGGAAATAACTTCATCTAAAAACCAAACGGAAGCATTCACAGACAATTCTTAGTGATCATTGCATTGAACTAACAGAGCTGAACATTCCTTTAGATGGCGCAGTTTCCAAACACACTTTCTGTAGAATCTGCAAGTGGATATTTGGACTTCTCTGAGGATTTCGTTGGAAACGGGATAAACTTCCCAGAACTACACGGAAGCATTGTGAGAAACTTCTTTGTGATATTTGCATTCAACTCACAGAGTTGAACCTTGCTTTCATAGTTCAGCTTTCAAACACTCTTTTTGTAGAATCTGCAAGTGGATATTTGGACCACTTTGTGGCCTTCCTTCGAAACGGGTATATCTTCACATCAAACCGAGACAGAAGCATTCTCAGAATGTTTCCTGTGATGACTGCATTCAACTCACAGAGGTGAACAATCCTGCTGTTGGAGCAGTTTTGAAACTCTCTTTCTTTGGATTCTGCAAGTGGATATGTGGACCTCTGTGAAGATTTCGTTGGAAACGGGTTCATCTTCACAGAAAAACTAAACAGGAGCATTCTCAGAAACTGCTTTGTGATGTTTGTGTTCCACTTCAAGAATTGAACTTTCCTCTTGACCGAGCAGCTCTGAAACCCTCTTATTCTAGAATCTGCAAGTGGACATTTGGAGGGCTTTGAGGCCTGTGGTGGAAAAGGAAAATCTTCACATAAAAACTAGATGGAAGCATTCTCAGAAACTACTTTGTGATGATTGCATTCGACTCACAGAGTTGAACATTCCTATAGATAGAGCAGGTTGTAAACAATCTTTTTGTAGAATCTGCGATTGGAGATTTGGACTGCTTTGAGGCCTACTGTAGTAAAGGAAATAACTTCATCTAAAAACCAAACGGAAGCATTCACAGACAATTCTTAGTGATCATTGGATTGAACTAACAGAGCTGAACATTCCTTTAGATGGAGCATTTTCCAAACGCACTTTCTGTAGAATCTGCAAGTGGATATTTGGACTTCTCTGAGGATTTCGTTGGAAACGGGATAAACTTCCCAGAACTACACGGAAGCATTCTGAGAAACGTCTTTGTGATGTTTGCATTCAACTCACAGAGTTGAACCTTGCTTTCATAGTTCAGCTTTCAAACACTCTTTTTGTAGAATCTGCAAGTGGATATTTGGACCACTTTGTGGCCTTCCTTCGAAACGGGTATATCTTCACATCAAACCTAGACAGAAGCATTCTCAGAATGTTTCCTGTGATGAATGCATTCAACTCACAGAGGCGAACAATCCTGTTGATGGAGCAGTTTTGAAACTCTCTTTCTTTGGATTCTGCAAGTGGATATGTGGACCTCTGTGAAGATTTCGTTGGAAACGGGTTCATCTTCACAGAAAAACTAAACAGAAGAATTCTCAGAAACTGCGTTGTGATGTTTGTGTTCCACATCAAGAATTGAACTTTCCTCTTGACAGTGCAGCTCTGAAACCCTCTTTTTCTAGAATCTGCAAGTGGACATTTGGAGGGCTTTGAGGCCTGTGGTGGAAAAGGAAAATCTTCACATAAAAACTAGATGGAAGCATTCTCAGAAACTACTTTGTGATGATTGCATTCGACTCACAGAGTTGAACATTCCTATAGATAGAGCAGGTTGTAAACAATCTTTTTGTAGAATCTGCGATTGGAGATTTCGACTGCTTTGAGGCCTACTGTAGTAAAGGAAATAACTTCATCTAAAAACCAAACGGAAGCATTCACAGACAATTCTTAGTGATCATTGGATTGAACTAACAGAGCTGAACATTCCTTTAGATGGAGCAGTTTCCAAACCCACTTTCTGTAGAATCTGCAAGGGGATATTTGGACTTCTCTGAGGATTTCGTTGGAAACGGGATAAACTTCCCAGAACTACACGGAAGCATTGTGAGAAACTTCTTTGTGATGTTTGCATTCAACTCACAGAGCTGAACCTTGCTTTCATAGTTCAGCTTTCAAACACTCTTTTTGTAGAATCTGCAAGTGGATATTTGGACCACTTTGTGGCCTTCCTTTGAAACGGGTATATCTTCACATCAAACCTAGACAGAAGCATTCTCAGAATGTTTCCTGTGATGACTGCATTCAACTCACAGAGGTGAACAATCCTGTTGATGGAACAGTTTTGTAACTCTCTTTCTTTGGATTCTGCAAGTTGATATGTGGACCTCTGTGAAGATTTCGTTGGAAACTGGTTCATCTTCACAGAAAAACTAAACAGAAGCATTCTCAGAAACTGCTTTGTGATGTTTGTGTTCCACTTCAAGAATTGAACTTTCCTCTTGACAGAGCAGCTCTGAAACCCTCTTTTTCTAGAATCTGCAAGTGGACATTTGGAGGGCTTTGAGGCCTGTGGTGGAAAAGGAAAATCTTCACATAAAAACTAGATGGAAGCATTCTCAGAAACTACTTTGTGATGATTGCATTCGACTCACAGAGTTGAACATTCCTATACATAGAGCAGGTTGTAAACAATCTTTTTGTAGAATCTGCGATTGGAGATTTGGACTGCTTTGAGGCCTACTGTAGTAAAGGAAATAACTTCATCTAAAAACCAAACGGAAGCATTCACAGAAAATTCTTAGTGATCATTGGATTGAACTAACAGAGCTGAACATTCCTTTAGATGGAGCAGTTTCCAAACACACTTTCTGTAGAATCTGCAAGTGGATATTTGGACTTCTCTGAGGATTTCGTTGGAAACGGGATAAACTTCCCAGAACTACACGGAAGCATTCTGAGAAACTTCTTTGTGATGTTTGCATTCAACTCACAGAGTTGAACCTTGCTTTCATAGTTCAGCTTTCAAACACTCTTTTTGTAGAATCTGCAAGTGGATATTTGGACCACTTTGTGGCCTTCCTTCGAAACGGGTATATCTTCACATCAAACCTAGACAGAAGCATTCTCAGAATGTTTCCTGTGATGACTGCATTCAACTCACAGAGGTGAACAATCCTGCTGATGGAGCAGTTTTGAAACTCTCTTTCTTTGGATTCTGCAAGTGGATATGTGGACGTCTGTGAAGATTTCGTTGGAAACGGGTTCATCTTCACAGAAAAACTAAACAGGAGCATTCTCAGAAACTGCTTTGTGATGTTTGTGTTCCACTTCAAGAATTGAACTTTCCTCTTGACAGAGCAGCTCTGAAACCCTCTTTTTCTAGAATCTGCAAGTGGACATTTGGAGGGCTTTGAGGCCTGTGGTGGAAAAGGAAAATCTTCACATAAAAACTAGATGGAAGCATTCTGAGAAACAACTTTGTGATGATTGCATTCGACTCACAGAGTTGAACATTCCTATAGATAGAGCAGGTTGTAAACAATCTTTTTGTAGAATCTGCGATTGGAGATTTGGACTGCTTTGAGGCCTACTGTAGTAAAGGAAATAACTTCATCTAAAAACCAAACGGAAGCATTCACAGACAATTCTTAGTGATCATTGGTTTGAACTAACAGAGCTGAACATTCCTTTAGATGGAGGAGATTCCAAACACTCTTTCTGTAGAATCTGCAAGTGGATATTTGGACCTCTCTGAGGATTTCGTTGGAAACAGGATAAACTTCCCAGAACTACACGGAAGTATTCTGAGAAACTTCTTTGTGATGTTTGCATTCAACTCACAGAGTTGAACCTTGCTTTCATAGTTCAGCTTTCAAACACTCTTTTTGTAGAATCTGCAAGTGGATATTTGGACCACTTTGTGGCCTTCCTTCGAAACGGGTATATCTTCACATCAAACCTAGACAGAAGCATTCTCAGAATGTTTCCTGTGATGACTGAATTCAACTCACAGGGGTGAACAATCCTGCTGATGGAGCAGCTTTGAAACTCTCTTTCTTTGGATTCTGCAAGTGGATATGTGGACCTCTGTGAAGATTTCGTTGGAAACGGGTTCATCTTCACAGAAAAACTAAACAGGAGCATTCTCAGAAACTGCTTTGTGATGTTTGTGTTCCACTTCAGGAATTGAACTTTCCTCTTGACAGAGCAGCTCTGAAACCCTCTTTTTCTAGAATCTGCAAGTGGACATTTGGAGGGCTTTGAGGCCTGTGGTGGAAAAGGAAAATCTTCACATAAAAACTAGATGGAAGCATTCTCAGAAACTACTTTGTGATGATTGCATTCGACTCACAGAGTTGAACATTCCTATAGATAGAGCAGGTTGTAAACAATGTTTTTGTAGAATCTGCGATTGGAGATTTGGACTGCTTTGAGGCCTACTGTAGTAAAGGAAATAACTTCATCTAAAAACCAAACGGAAGCATTCACAGACAATTCTTAGTGATCATTGCATTGAACTAACAGAGCTGAACATTCCTTTAGATGGCGCAGTTTCCAAACACACTTTCTGTAGAATCTGCAAGTGGATATTTGGACTTCTCTGAGGATTTCGTTGGAAACGGGATAAACTTCCCAGAACTACACGGAAGCATTCTGAGAAACTTCTTTGTGATGTTTGCATTCAACTCACAGAGTTGAACCTTGCTTTCATAGTTCAGCTTTCAAACACTCTTTTTGTAGAATCTGCAAGTGGATATTTGGACCACTTTCTGGCCTTCCTTCGAAACGGGTATATCTTCACATCAAACCTAGACAGAAGCATTCTCAGAATGTTTCCTGTGATGACTGCATTCAACTCACAGAGGTGAACAATCCTGCTGATGGAGCAGTTTTGAAACTCTCTTTCTTTGGATTCTGCAAGTGGATATGTGGACCTCTGTGAAGATTTCGTTGGAAACGGGTTCATCTTCACAGAAAAACTAAACAGAAGCATTCTCAGAAACTGCTTTGTGATGTTTGTGTTCCACTTCAAGAATTGAACTTTCCTCTTGACAGAGCAGCTCTGAAACCCTCTTTTTCTAGAATCTGCAAGTGGACATTTGGAGGGCTTTGAGGCCTGTGGTGGAAAAGGAAAATCTTCCCATAAAAACTAGATGGAAGCATTCTCAGAAACTACTTTGTGATGATTGCATTCGACTCACAGAGTTGAACATTCCTATAGATAGCGCAGGTTGTAAACAATCTTTTTGTAGAATCTGCGATTGGAGATTTGGACTGCTTTGAGGCCTACTGTAGTAAAGGAAATAACTTCATCTAAAAACCAAACGGAAGCATTCACAGACAATTCTTAGTGATCATTGGATTGAACTAACATAGCTGAACATTCCCTTAGATGGCGCAGTTTCCAAACACACTTTCTGTAGAATCTGCAAGTGGATATTTGGACCTCTCTGAGGATTTCGTTGGAAACGGGATAAAATTCCCAGAACTACACAGAAGCATTCTGAGAAACTTCTTTGTGATGTTTGCATTCAACTCACAGAGTTGAACCTTGCTTTCATAGTTCAGCTTTCAAACACTCTTTTTGTAGAATCTGCAAGTGGATATTTGGACCACTTTGTGGCCTTCCTTCGAAACGGGTATATCTTCACATCAAACCTAGACAGAAGCATTCTCAGAATGTTTCCTGTGATGACTGCATTCAACTCACAGAGGTGAACAATCCTGCTGATGGAGCAGTTTTGAAACTCTCTTTCTTTGGATTCTGCAAGTGGATATGTGGACCTCTGTGAAGATTTCGTTGGAAACGGGTTCATCTTCACAGAAAAACTAAACAGGAGCATTCTCAGAAACTGCTTTGTGATGTTTGTGTTCCACTTCAAGAATTGAACTTTCCTCTTGACAGAGCAGCTCTGAAACCCTCTTTTTCTAGAATCTGCAAGTGGACATTTGGAGGGCTTTGAGGCCTGTGGTGGAAAAGGAAAATCTTCACATAAAAACTAGATGGAAGCATTCTCAGAAACTACTTTGTGATGATTGCATTCGACTCACAGAGTTGAACATTCCTATAGATAGAGCAGATTGTAAACAATCTTTTTGTAGAATCTGCGATTGGAGATTTGGACTGCTTTGAGGTCTACTGTAGTAAAGGAAATAACTTCATCTAAAAACCAAACGGAAGCATTCACAGACAATTCTTAGTGATCATTGCATTGAACTAACAGAGCTGAACATTCCTTTAGATGGCGCAGTTTCCAAACACACTTTCTGTAGAATCTGCAAGTGGATATTTGGACCTCTCTGAGGATTTCGTTGGAAAAGGGATAAACTTCCCAGAACTACACGGAAGCATTGTGAGAAACTTCTTTGTGATGTTTGCATTCAACTCACAGAGTTGAACCTTGCTTTCATAGTTCAGCTTTCAAACACTCTTTTTGTAGAATCTGCAAGTGGATATTTGGACCACTTTGTGGCCTTCCTTTGAAAAGGGTATATCTTCACATCAAACCTAGACAGAAGCATTCTCAGAATGTTTCCTGTGATGACTGCATTCAACTCACAGAGGTGAACAATCCTGGTAATGGAGCAGTTTTGAAACTCTCTTTCTTTGGATTCTGCAAGTGGATATGTGGACCTCTGTGAAGATTTCGTTGGAAACTGGTTCATCTTCACAGAAAAACTAAACAGAAGCATTCTCAGAAACTGCTTTGTGATGTTTGTGTTCCACTTCAAGAATTGAACTTTCCTCTTGACAGAGCAGCTCTGAAACCCTCTTTTTCTAGAATCTGCAAGTGGACATTTGGAGGGCTTTGAGGCCTGTGGTGGAAAAGGAAAATCTTCACATAAAAACTAGATGGAAGCATTCTCAGAAACTACTTTGTGATGATTGCATTCGACTCACAGAGTTGAACATTCCTATAGATAGAGCAGGTTGAAAACAATCTTTTTGTAGAATCTGCGATTGGAGATTTGGACTGCTTTGAGGCCTACTGTAGTAAAGGAAATAACTTCATCTAAAAACCAAACGGAAGCATTCACAGACAATTCTTAGTGATCATTGGATTGAACTAACAGAGCTGAACATTCCTTTAGATGGAGCAGTTTCCAAACACACTTTCTGTAGAATCTGCAAGTGGATATTTGGACCTCTCTGAGGATTTCGTTGGAAACGGGATAAACTTCCCAGAACTACACGGAAGCATTGTGAGAAACTTCTTTGTGATGTTTGCATTCAACTCACAGAGTTGAACCTTGCTTTCATAGTTCAGCTTTCAAACACTCTTTTTGTAGAATCTGCAAGTGGATATTTGGACCACTTTGTGGCCTTCCTTCGAAACGGGTATATCTTCACATCAAACCTAGACAGAAGCATTCTCAGAATGTTTCCTGTGATGACTGCATTCAACTCACAGAGGTGAACAATCCTGCTGTTGGAGCAGTTTTGAAACTCTCTTTCTTTGGATTCTGCAAGTGGATATGTGGACCTCTGTGAAGATTTCGTTGGAAACGGGTTCATCTTCACAGAAAAACTAAACAGAAACATTCTCAGAAACTGCTTTGTGATGTTTGTGTTCCACTTCAAGAATTGAACTTTCCTCTTGACAGAGCAGCTCTGAAACCCTCTTTTTCTAGAATCTGCAAGTGGACATTTGGAGGGCTTTGAGGCCTGTGGTGGAAAAGGAAAATCTTCACATAAAAACTAGATGGAAGCATTCTCAGAAACTACTTTGTGATGATTGCATTCGACTCACAGAGTTGAACATTCCTATAGATAGAGCAGGTTGAAAACAATCTTTTTGTAGAATCTGCGATTGGAGATTTGGACTGCTTTGAGGCCTACTGTAGTAAAGGAAATAACTTCATCTAAAAACCAAACTGGAAGCATTCACAGACAATTCTTAGTGATCATTGGATTGAACTAACAGAGCTGAACATTCCTTTAGATGGAGCAGTTTCCAAACACACTTTCTGTAGAATCTGCAAGTGGATATTTGGACCTCTCTGAGGATTTCGTTGGAAACGGGATAAACTTCCCAGAACTACACGGAAGCATTCTGAGAAACTTCTTTGTGATGTTTGCATTCAACTCACAGAGTTGAACCTTGCTTTCATAGTTCAGCTTTCAAACACTCTTTTTGTAGAATCTGCAAGTGGATATTTGGACCACTTTGTGGCCTTCCTTCGAAACGGGTATATCTTCACATCAAACCTAGACAGAAGCATTCTCAGAATGTTTCCTGTGATGACTGCATTCAACTCACAGAGGTGAACAATCCTGCTGATGGAGCAGTTTTGAAACTCTCCTTCTTTGGATTCTGCAAGTGGATATGTGGACCTCTGTGAAGATTTCGTTGGAAACGGGTTCATCTTCACAGAAAAACTAAACAGAAGCATTCTCAGAAACTGCTTTGTGATGTTTGTGTTCCACTTTATGAATTGAACTTTCTTCTTGACAGAGCAGCTCTGAAACCCTCTTATTCTAGAATCTGCAAGTGGACATTTGGAGGGCTTTGAGGCCTGTGGTGGAAAAGGAATATCTTCACATAAAAACTAGATGGAAGCATTCTCAGAAACTACTTTGTGATGATTGCATTCGACTCACAGAGTTGAACATTCCTATAGATAGAGCAGGTTGTAAACAATCTTTTTGTAGAATCTGCGATTGGAGATTTGGACTGCTTTGAGGCCTACTGTAGTAAAGGAAATAACTTCATCTAAAAACCAAACGGAAGCATTCACAGACAATTCTTAGTGATCATTGCATTGAACTAACAGAGCTGAACATTCCTTTAGATGGAGCAGTTTCCAAACACACTTTCTGTAGAATCTGCAAGTGGATATTTGGACTTCTCTGAGGATTTCGTTGGAAACGGGATAAACTTCCCAGAACTACACGGAAGCATTGTGAGAAACTTCTTTGTGATGTTTGCATTCAACTCACAGAGTTGAACCTTGCTTTCATAGTTCAGCTTTCAAACACTCTTTTTGTAGAATCTGCAAGTGGATATTTGGACCACTTTGTGGCCTTCCTTCGAAACGGGTATATCTTCATATCAAACCTAGACAGAAGCATTCTCAGAATGTTTCCTGTGATGACTGCATTCAACTCACAGAGGTGAACAATCCTGCTGATGGAGCAGTTTTGAAACTCTCTTTCTTTGGATTCTGCAAGTGGATATGTGGACCTCTGTGAAGATTTCGTTGGAAACGGGTTCATCTTCACAGAAAAACTAAACAGGAGCATTCTCAGGAAACTGCTTTGTGATGTTAGTGTTCCACTTCAAGAATTGAACTTTCCTCTTGACAGAGCAGCTCTGAAACCCTCTTTTTCTAGAATCTGCAAGTGGAGATTTGGAGGGCTTTGAGGCCTGTGGTGGAAAAGGAAAATCTTCACATAAAAACTAGATGGAAGCATTCTCAGAAACTACTTTGTGATGATTGCATTCGACTCACAGAGTTGAACATTCCTATACATAGAGCAGGTTGTAAACAATCTTTTTGTAGAATCTGCGATTGGAGATTTGGACTGCTTTGAGGCCTACTGTAGTAAAGGAAATAACTTCATCTAAAAACCAAACGGAAGCATTCACAGACAATTCTTAGTGATCATTGGATTGAACTAACAGAGCTGAACATTCCTTTAGATGGAGCAGTTTCCAAACCCACTTTCTGTAGAATCTGCAAGTGGATATTTGGACTTCTCTGAGGATTTCGTTGGAAACGGGATAAACTTCCCAGAACTACACGGAAGCATTCTGAGAAACTTCTTTGTGATGTTTGCATTCAACTCACAGAGTTGAACCTTGCTTTCATAGTTCAGCTTTCAAACACTCTTTTTGTAGAATCTGCAAGTGGATATTTGGACCACTTTGTGGCCTTCCTTCGAAACGGGTATATCTTCACATCAAACCTAGACAGAAGCATTCTCAGAATGTTTCCTGTGATGACTGCATTCAACTCACAGAGGTGAACAATCCTGTTGATGGAGCACTTTTGAAACTCTCTTTCTTTGGATTCTGCAAGTTGATATGAGGACCTCTGTGAAGATTTCGTTGGAAACGGGTTCATCTTCACAGAAAAACTAAACAGAAGCATTCTCAGAAACTACTTTGTGATGTTTGTGTTCCACTTCAAGAATTGAACTTTCATCTTGACAGAGCAGCTCTGCAACCCTCTTTTTCTAGAATCTGCAAGTGGACATTTGGAGGGCTTTGAGGCCTGTGGTGGAAAAGGAAAATCTTCACATAAAAACTAGATGGAAGCATTCTCAGAAACTACTTTGTGATGATTGCATTCGACTCACAGAGTTGAACATTCCTATAGATAGAGCAGGTTGTAAACAATCTTTTTGTAGAATCTGCGATTGGAGATTTGGACTGCTTTGAGGCCTACTGTAGTAAAGGAAATAACTTCATCTAAAAACCAAACGGAAGCATTCACAGACAATTCTTAGTGATCATTGCATTGAACTAACAGAGCTGAACATTGCTTTAGATGGCGCAGTTTCCAAACCCACTTTCTGTAGAATCTGCAAGTGGATATTTGGACCTCTCTGAGGATTTCGTTGGAAACGGGATAAACTTCCCAGAACTACACGGAAGCATGCTGAGAAACTTATTTGTGATGTTTGCATTCAACTCACAGAGTTGAACCTTGCTTTCATAGTTCAGCTTTCAAACACTCTTTTTGTAGAATCTGCAAGTGGATATTTGGACCACTTTGTGGCCTTCCTTCGAAACGGGTATATCTTCACATCAAACCTAGACAGAAGCATTCTCAGAATGTTTCCTGTGATGACTGCATTCAACTCACAGAGGTGAACAATCCTGCTGATGGAGCAGTTTTGAAACTCTCTTTCTTTGGATTCTGCAAGTGGATATGTGGACCTCTGTGAAGATTTCGTTGGAAACGGGTTCATCTTCACAGAAAAACTAAACAGGAGCATTCTCAGAAACTGCTTTGTGATGTTTGTGTTCCACTTCAAGAATTGAACTTTCCTCTTGACAGAGCAGCTCTGAAACCCTCTTTTTCTAGAATCTGCAAGTGGACATTTGGAGGGCTTTGAGGCCTGTGGTGGAAAAGGAAAATCTTCACATAAAAACTAGATGGAAGCATTCTCAGAAACTACTTTGTGATGATTGCATTCGACTCACAGAGTTGAACATTCCTATAGATAGAGCAGGTTGTAAACAATGTTTTTGTAGAATCTGCGATTGGAGATTTGGACTGCTTTGAGGCCTACTGTAGTAAAGGAAATAACTTCATCTAAAAACCAAACGGAAGCATTCACAGACAATTCTTAGTGATCATTGGTTTGAACTAACAGAGCTGAACATTCCTTTAGATGGAGCAGTTTCCAAACCCACTTTCTGTAGAATCTGCAAGTGGATATTTGGACTTCTCTGAGGATTTCGTTGGAAATGGGATAAACTTCCCAGAACTACACGGAAGCATTCTGAGAAACTTCTTTGTGATGTTTGCATTCAACTCACAGAGTTGAACCTTGCTTTCATAGTTCAGCTTTCAAACACTCTTTTTGTAGAATCTGCAAGTGGATATTTGGACCACTTTGTGGCCTTCCTTCGAAACGGGTATATCTTCACATCAAACCTAGACAGAAGCATTCTCAGAATGTTTCCTGTGATGACTGCATTCAACTCACAGAGGTGAACAATCCTGCTGATGGAGCAGTTTTGAAACTCTCTTTCTTTGGATTCTGCAAGTGGATATGTGGACCTCTGTGAAGATTTCGTTGGAAACGGGTTCATCTTCACAGAAAAACTAAACAGAAGCATTCTCAGAAACTGCTTTGTGATGTTTGTGTTTCACTTCAGGAATTGAACTTTCCTCTTGACCGAGCAGCTCTGAAACCCTCTTATTCTAGAATCTGCAAGTGGACATTTGGAGGGCTTTGAGGCCTGTGGTGGAAAAGGAAAATCTTCACATAAAAACTAGATGGAAGCATTCTCAGAAACTACTTTGTGATGATTGCTTTTGACTCACAGAGTTGAACATTCCTATAGATAGAGCAGGTTGTAAACAATCTTTTTGTAGAATCTGCGATTGGAGATTTGGACTGCTTTGAGGCCTACTGTAGTAAAGGAAATAACTTCATCTAAAAACCAAACGGAAGCATTCACAGACAATTCTTAGTGATCATTGGATTGAACTAACAGAGCTGAACATTCCTTTAGATGGAGCAGTTTCCAAACACACTTTCTGTAGAATCTGCAAGTGGATATTTGGACTTCTCTGATTATTTCGTTGGAAACGGGATAAACTTCCCAGAACTACACGGAAGCATTCTGAGAAACTTCTTTGTGATGTTTGCATTCAACTCACAGAGTTGAAACTTGCTTTCATAGTTCAGCTTTCAAACACTCTTTTTGTAGGATCTGCAAGTGGATATTTGGACCACTTTGTGGCCTTCCTTCGAAACGGGTATATCTTCACATCAAACCTAGACCGAAGCATTCTCAGAATGTTTCCTGTGATGACTGCATTCAACTCACAGAGGTGAACAATCCTGTTGATGGAGCAGTTTTGAAACTCTCTTTCTTTGGATTCTGCAAGTGGATATGTGGACCTCTGTGAAGATTTCGTTGGAAACGGGTTCATCTTCACAGAAAAACTAAACAGAAGCATTCTCAGAAACTGCTTTGTTATGTTTGTGTTCCACTTCAGGAATTGAACTTTCCTCTTGACAGAGCAGCTCTGAAACCCTCTTATTCTAGAATCTGCAAGTGGACATTTGGAGGGCTTTGAGGCCTGTGGTGGAAAAGGAAAATCTTCACATAAAAACTAGATGGAAGCATTCTCAGAAACTACTTTGTGATGATTGCATTCGACTCACAGAGTTGAACATTCCTATAGATAGAGCAGGTTGTAAACAATCTTTTTGTAGAATCTGCGATTGGAGATTTGGACTGCTTTGAGGCCTACTGTAGTAAAGGAAATAACTTCATCTAAAAACCAAACGGAAGCATTCACAGACAATTCTTAGTGATCATTGCATTGAACTAACAGAGCTGAACATTCCTTTAGATGGCGCAGTTTCCAAACACACTTTCTGTAGAATCTGCAAGTGGATATTTGGACTTCTCTGAGGATTTCGTTGGAAACGGGATAAACTTCCCAGAACTACACGGAAGCATTGTGAGAAACTTCTTTGTGATGTTTGCATTCAACTCACAGAGTTGAACCTTGCTTTCATAGTTCAGCTTTCAAACACTCTTTTTGTAGAATCTGCAAGTGGATATTTGGACCACTTTGTGGCCTTCCTTCGAAACGGGTATATCTTCACATCAAACCTAGACAGAAGCATTCTCAGAATGTTTCCTGTGATGACTGCATTCAACTCACAGAGGTGAACAATCCTGCTGATGGAGCAGTTTTGAAACTCTCTTTCTTTGGATTCTGCAAGTGGATATGTGGACCTCTGTGAAGATTTCGTTGGAAACGGGTTCATCTTCACAGAAAAACTAAACAGGAGCATTCTCAGAAACTGCTTTGTGATGTTTGTGTTCCACTTCAAGAATTGAACTTTCCTCTTGACAGAGCAGCTCTGAAACCCTCTTTTTCTAGAATCTGCAAGTGGACATTTGGAGGGCTTTGAGGCCTGTGGTGGAAAAGGAAAATCTTCACATAAAAACTAGATGGAAGCATTCTCAGAAACTATTTGTGATGATTGCATTCGACTCACAGAGTTGAACATTCCTATAGATAGAGCAGGTTGTAAACAATCTTTTTGTAGAATCTGCGATTGGAGATTTGGACTGCTTTGAGGCCTACTGTAGTAAAGGAAATAACTTCATCTAAAAACCAAACGGAAGCATTCACAGACAATTCTTAGTGATCATTGGATTGAACTAACAGAGCTGAACATTCCTTTAGATGGAGCAGTTTCCAAACACACTTTCTGTAGAATCTGCAAGTGGATATTTGGACCTCTCTGAGGATTTCGTTGGAAACGGGATAAACTTCCCAGAACTACACGGAAGCATTCTGAGAAACTTCTTTGTGTTGTTTGCATTCAACTCACAGAGTTGAACCTTGCTTTCATAGTTCAGCTTTCAAACACTCTTTTTGTAGAATCTGCAAGTGGATATTTGGACCACTTTGGGGCCTTCCTTCGAAACGGGTATATCTTCACATCAAACCTAGACAGAAGCATTCTCAGAATGTTTCCTGTGATGACTGCATTCAACTCACAGAGGTGAACAATCCTGCTGATGGAGCAGTTTTGAAACTCTCTTTCTTTGGATTCTGCAAGTGGATATGTGGACCTCTGTGAAGATTTCGTTGGAAACGGGTTCATCTTCACAGAAAAACTAAACAGGAGCATTCTCAGAAACTGCTTTGTGATGTTTGTGTTCCACATCAAGAATTGAACTTTCCTCTTGACAGAGCAGCTCTGATACCCTCTTTTTCTAGAATCTGCAAGTGGACATTTGGAGGGCTTTGAGGCCTGTGGTGCAAAAGGAAAATCTTCACATAAAAACTAGATGGAAGCATTCTCAGAAACTACTTTGTGATGATTGCATTCGACTCACAGAGTTGAACATTCCTATAGATAGAGCAGGTTGTAAACAATCTTTTTGTAGAATCTGCGATTGGAGATTTGGACTGCTTTGAGGCCTACTGTAGTAAAGGAAATAACTTCATCTAAAAACCAAACGGAAGCATTCACAGACAATTCTTAGTGATCATTGCATTGATCTAACAGAGCTGAAGATTCCTTTAGATGGCGTAGTTTCCAAACACACTTTCTGTAGAATCTGCAAGTGGATATTTGGACCTCTCTGAGGATTTCGTTGGAAACGGGATAAACTTCCCAGAACTACACGGAAGCATTCTGAGAAACTTCTTTGTGATGTTTGCATTCAACTCACAGAGTTGAACCTTGCTTTCATAGTTCAGCTTTCAAACACTCTTTTTGTAGAATCTGCAAGTGGATATTTGGACCACTTTGTGGCCTTCCTTTGAAACGGGTATATCTTCACATCAAACCTAGACAGAAGCATTCTCAGAATGTTTCCTGTGATGACTGCATTCAACTCACAGAGGTGAACAATCCTGTTGATGGAGCCGTTTTGAAACTCCCTTTCTTTTGATTCTGCAAGTGGATATGTGGAACACTGTGAAGATTTCGTTGGAAACGGGTTCATCTTCACAGAAAAATTAACAGGAGCATTCTCAGAAACTGCTTTGTGATGTTTGTGTTCCACTTGAAGAATTGAACTTTCCTTTTGACAGAGCAGCTCTGAAACCCTCTTTTTCTAGAATCTGCAAGTGGACATTTGGAGGGCTTTGAGGCCTGTGGTGGAAAAGGAAAATCTTCCCATAAAAACTAGCTGGAAGCATTCTCAGAAACTACTTTGTGATGATTGCATTCGACTCACAGAGTTGAACATTCCTATAGATAGAGCAGGTTGTAAACAATCTTTTTGTAGAATCTGCGATTGGAGATTTGGACTGCTTTGAGGCCTACTGTAGTAAAGGAAATAACTTCATCTAAAAACCAAACGGAAGCATTCACAGACAATTCTTAGTGATCATTGGATTGAACCAACAGAGCTGAACATTCCTTTAGATGGCGCAGTTTCCAAACACACTTTCTGTAGAATCTGCAAGTGGATATTTGGACCTCTCTGAGGATTTCGTTGGAAAAGGGATAAACTTCCCAGAACTACACGGAAGCATTCTGAGAAAATTCTTTGTGATGTTTGCATTCAACTCACAGAGTTGAACCTTGCTTTCATAGTTCAGCTTTCAAACACTCTTTTTGTAGAATCTGCAAGTGGATATTTGGACCACTTTGTGGCCTTCCTTCGAAAGGGGTATATCTTCACATCAAACCTAGACAGAAGCATTCTCAGAATGTTTCCTGTGATGACTGCATTCAACTCACAGAGGTGAACAATCTTGCTGATGGAGCAGTTTTGAAACTCTCTTTCTTTGGATTCTGCAAGTGGATATGTGGACCTCTGTGAAGATTTCGTTGGAAACGGGTTCATCTTCACAGAAAAACTAAACAGGAGCATTCTCAGAAACTGCTTTGTGATGTTTGTGTTCCACTTCAGGAATTGAACTTTCCTCTTGACAGAACAGCTCTGAAACCCTCTTATTCTAGAATCTGCAAGTGGACATTTGGAGGGCTTTGAGGCCTGTGGTGGAAAAGGAAAATCTTCACATAAAAACTAGATGGAAGCATTCTCAGAAACTACTTTGTGATGATTGCATTCGACTCACAGAGTTGAACATTCCTATAGATAGAGCAGGTTGTAAACAATCTTTTTGTAGAATCTGCGATTGGAGATTTGGACTGCTTTGAGGCCTACTGTAGTAAAGGAAATAACTTCATCTAAAAACCAAACGGAAGCATTCACAGACAATTCTTAGTGATCATTGCATTGAACTAACAGAGCTGAACATTCCTTTAGATGGAGCAGTTTCCAAACACACTTTCTGTAGAATCTGCAAGTGGATATTTGGACTTCTCTGAGGATGTCGTTGGAAACGGGATATACTTCCCAGAACTACACGGAAGCATTGTGAGAAACTTCTTTGTGATGTTTGCATTCAACTCACAGAGTTGAACCTTGCTTTCATAGTTCAGCTTTCAAACACTCTTTTTGTAGAATCTGCAAGTGGATATTTGGACCACTTTGTGGCCTTCCTTCGAAACGGGTATATCTTCACATCAAACCTAGACAGAAGCATTCTCAGAATGTTTCCTGTGATGACTGCATTCAACTCACAGAGGTGAACAATCCTGCTGATGGAGCAGTTTTGAAACTCTCTTTCTTTGGATTCTGCAAGTGGATATGTGGACCTCTGTGTAGATTTCGTTGGAAACGGGTTCATCTTCACAGAAAAACTAAACAGGAGCATTCTCAGAAACTGCTTTGTGATGTTTGTGTTCCACTTCAAGAATTGAACTTTCCTCTTGACAGAGCAGCTCTGAATCCCTCTTTTTCTAGAATCTGCAAGTGGACATTTGGAGGGCTTTGAGGCCTGTGGTGGAAAAGGAAAATCTTCACATAAAAACTAGATGGAAGCATTCTCAGAAACTACTTTGTGATGATTGCATTCGACTCACAGAGTTGAACATTCCTATAGATAGAGCAGGTTGTAAACAATCTTTTTGTAGAATCTGCGATTGGAGATTTGGACTGCTTTGAGGCCTACTGTAGTAAAGGAAATAACTTCATCTAAAAACCAAACGGAAGCATTCACAGACAATTCTTAGTGATCATTGCATTGAACTAACAGAGCTGAATATTCCTTTAGATGGCGCAGTTTCCAAACACACTTTCTGTAGAATCTGCAAGTGGATATTTGGACCTCTCTGAGGATTTCGTTGGAAACGGGATAAAATTCCCAGAACTACACGGAAGCATTCTGAGAAACTTCTTTGTGATATTTGCATTCAACTCACAGAGTTGAACCTTGCTTTCATAGTTCAGCTTTCAAACACTCTTTTTGTAGAATCTGCAAGTGGATATTTGGACCACTTTGTGGCCTCTCTTCGAAACGGGTATATCTTCACATCAAACCTAGACAGAAGCATTCTCAGAATGTTTCCTGTGATGACTGCATTCAACTCACAGAGGTGAACAATCCTGCTGATGGAGCAGTTTTGAAACTCTCTTTCTTTGGATTCTGCAAGTGGATATGTGGACCTCTGTGAAGATTTCGTTGGAAACGGGTTCATCTTCACAGAAAAACTAAACAGGAGCATTCTCAGAAACTGCTTTGTGATGTTTATGTTCCACTTCAAGAATTGAACTTTCCTCTTGACAGAGCAGCTCTGAAACCCTCTTATTCTAGAATCTGCAAGTGGACATTTGGAGGGCTTTGAGGCCTGTGGTGGAAAAGGAAAATCTTCACATAAAAACTAGATGGAAGCATTCTCAGAAACTACTTTGTGATGATTGCATTCGACTCACAGAGTTGAACATTCCTATAGATAGAGCAGGTTGTAAACAATCTTTTTGTAGAATCTGCGATTGGAGATTTGGACTGCTTTGAGGCCTACTGTAGTAAAGGAAATAACTTCATCTAAAAACCAAACGGAAGCATTCACAGACAATTCTTAGTGATCATTGCATTGAACTAACAGAGCTGAACATTGCTTTAGATGGCGCAGTTTCCAAACACACTTTCTGTAGAATCTGCAAGTGGATATTTGGACCTCTCTGAGGATTTCGTTGGAAACGGGATAAACTTCCCAGAACTACACGGAAGCATGCTGAGAAACTTCTTTGTGATGTTTGCATTCAACTCACAGAGTTGAAACTTGCTTTCATAGTTCAGCTTTCAAACACTCTTTTTGTAGAATCTGCAAGTGGATATTTGGAGCACTTTGTGGCCTTCCTTCGAAACGGGTATATCTTCACATCAAACCTAGACAGAAGCATTCTCAGAATGTTTCCTGTGATGACTGCATTCAACTCACAGAGGTGAACAATCCTGTTGATGGAGCACTTTTGAAACTCTCTTTCTTTGGATTCTGCAAGTTGATATGTGGACCTCTGTGAAGATTTCGTTGGAAACGGGTTCATCTTCACAGAAAAACTAAACAGAAGCATTCTCAGAAACTGCTTTGTGATGTTTGTGTTCCACTTCAGGAATTGAACTTTCCTCTTGACAGAGCAGCTCTGAAACCCTCTTATTCTAGAATCTGCAAGTGGACATTTGGAGGGCTTTGAGGCCTGTGGTGGAAAAGGAAAATCTTCACATAAAAACTAGATGGAAGCATTCTCAGAAACTACTTTGTGATGATTGCATTCGACTCACAGAGTTGAACATTCCTATAGATAGAGCAGGTTGTAAACAATCTTTTTGTAGAATCTGCGATTGGAGATTTGGACTGCTTTGAGGCCTACTGTAGTAAAGGAAATAACTTCATCTAAAAACCAAACGGAAGCATTCAGAGACAATTCTTTGTGATCATTGGATTGAACTAACAGAGCTGAACATTCCTTTAGATGGAGCAGTTGCCAAACCCACTTTCTGTAGAATCTGCAAGTGGATATTTGGACCTCTCTGAGGATTTCGTTGGAAACGGGATAAACTTCCCAGAACTACACGGAAGCATTCTGAGAAACTTCTTTGTGATGTTTGCATTCAACTCACAGAGTTGAACCTTGCTTTCATAGTTCAGCTTTCAAACACTCTTTTTGTAGAATCTGCAAGTGGATATTTGGACCACTTTGTGGCCTTCCTTCGAAACGGGTATATCTTCACATCAAACCTAGACAGAAGCATTCTCAGAATGTTTCCTGTGATGACTGCATTCAACTCACAGAGGTGAACAATCCTGCTGATGGAGCAGTTTTGAAACTCTCTTTCTTTGGATTCTGCAAGTGGATATGTGGACCTCTGTGTAGATTTCGTTGGAAACGGGTTCATCTTCACAGAAAAACTAAACAGGAGCATTCTCAGAAACTGCTTTGTGATGTTTGTGTTCCACTTCAAGAATTGAACTTTCCTCTTGACAGAGCAGCTCTGAAACCCTCTTTTTCTAGAATCTGCAAGTGGACATTTGGAGGGCTTTGAGGCCCGTGGTGGAAAAGGAAAATCTTCACATAAAAACTAGATGGAAGCATTCTCAGAAACTACTTTGTGATGATTGCATTCGACTCACAGAGTTGAACATTCCTATAGATAGAGCAGGTTGTAAACAATCTTTTTGTAGAATCTGCGATTGGAGATTTGGACTGCTTTGAGGCCTACTGTAGTAAAGGAAATAACTTCATCTAAAAACCAAACGGAAGCATTCACAGACAATTCTTAGTGATCATTGGATTGAACTAACAGAGCTGAACATTCCTTTAGATGGAGCAGTTTCCAAACCCACTTTCTGTAGAATCTGCAAGTGGATATTTGGACTTCTCTGAGGATTTCGTTGGAAACGGGATAAACTTCCCAGAACTACACGGAAGTATTCTGAGAAACTTATTTGTGATGTTTGCATTCAACTCACAGAGTTGAACCTTGCTTTCATAGTTCAGCTTTCAAACACTCTTTTTGTAGAATCTGCAAGTCGATATTTGGACCACTTTGTGGCTTTCCTTGGAAACGGGTATATCTTCACATCAAACCTTGACAGAAGCATTCTCAGAATGTTTCCTGTGATGACTGCATTCAACTCACAGAGGTGAACAATCCTGCTGATGGAGCAGTTTTGAAACTCTCTTTCTTTGGATTCTGCAAGTGGATATGTGGACCTCTGTGAAGATTTCGTTGGAAACGGGTTCATCTTCACAGAAAAACTAAACAGGAGCATTCTCAGAAACTGCTTTGTGATGTTTGTGTTCCACTTCAAGAATTGAACTTTCCTCTTGACAGAGCAGCTCTGAAACCCTCTTTTTCTAGAATCTGCAAGTGGCCATTTGGAGGGCTTTGAGGCCTGTGGTGGAAAAGGAAAATCTTCACATAAAACTAGATGGAAGCATTCTCAGAAACTACTTTGTGATGATTGCATTCGACTCACAGAGTTGAACATTCCTATAGATAGAGCAGGATGTAAACAAACTTTTTGTAGAATCTGCGATTGGAGATTTGGACTGCTTTGAGGCCTACTGTAGTAAAGGAAATAACTTCATCTAAAAACCAAACGGAAGCATTCACAGACAATTCTTAGTGATCATTGGATTGAACTAACAGAGCTGAACATTCCTTTAGATGGAGCAGTTTACAAACACACTTTATGTAGAATCTGCAAGTGGATATTTGGACTTCTCTGAGGATTTCGTTGGAAACGGGATAAACTTCCCAGAACTACACGGAAGCATTGTGAGAAACTTCTTTGTGATGTTTGCATTCAACTCACAGAGTTGAACCTTGCTTTCATAGTTCAGCTTTCAAACACTCTTTTTGTAGAATCTGCAAGTGGATATTTGGACCACTTTGTGGCCTTCCTTCGAAACGGGTATATCTTCACATCAAACCTAGACAGAAGCATTCTCAGAATGTTTCCTGTGATAACTGCATTCAACTCTCAGAGGTGAACAATCCTGTTGATGGAGCAGTTTTGAAACTCCCTTTCTTTGGATTCTGCAAGTGGATATGTGGAACTCTGTGAAGATTTCTTTGGAAACGGGTTCATCTTCGCAGAAAAACTAAACAGGAGCACTCTCAGAAACTGCTTTGTGATGTTTGTGTTCCACTTCAAGAATTGAACTTTCCTCTTGACAGAGCAGCTCTGAAACCCTCTTTTTCTAGAATCTGCAAGTGGACATTTGGAGGGCTTTGAGGCCTGTGGTGGAAAAGGAATATCTTCCCATAAAAACTAGATGGAAGCATTCTCAGAAACTACTTTGTGATGATTGCATTCGACTCACAGAGTTGAACATTCCTATAGATAGAGCAGGTTGTAAACAATCTTTTGTAGAATCTGCGATTGGAGATTTGGACTGCTTTGAGGCCTACTGTAGTAAAGGAAATAACTTCATCTAAAAACCAAACGGAGGTATTCAAAGACAATTCTTAGTGATCATTGGATTGAACTAACAGAGCTGAACATTAGTTTAGATGGCGCAGTTTCCAAACACACTTTCTGTAGAATCTGCAAGTGGATATTTGGACTTCTCTGAGGATTTCGTTGGAAACGGGATAAACTTCCCAGAACTACACGGCAGCATTCTGAGAAACTTCTTTGTGATGTTTGCATTCAACTCACAGAGTTGAAACTTGCTTTCATAGTTCAGCTTTCAAACACTCTTTTTGTAGAATCTGCAAGTGGATATTTGGACCACTTTGTGGCTTTCCTTCGAAACGGGTATATCTTCACATCAAACCTAGACAGAAGCATTCTCAGAATGTTTCCTGTGATAACTGCATTCAACTCACAGAGGTGAACAATCCTGTTGATGGAGCAGTTTTGAAACTCCCTTTCTTTGGATTCTGCAAGTGGATATGTGGAACTCTGTGAAGATTTCGTTGGAAACGGGTTCATCTTCACAGAAAAACTAAACAGGAGCATTCTCAGAAACTGCTTTGTGATGTTTGTGTTCCACTTCAAGAATTGAACTTTCCTCTTGACAGAGCAGCTCTGAAACCCTCTTTTTCTAGAATCTGCAAGTGGACATTTGGAGGGCTTTGAGGCCTGTGGTGGAAAAGGAAAATCTTCACATAAAAAATTGATGGAAGCATTCTCAGAAACTACTTTGTGATGATTGCATTCGACTCACAGAGTTGAACATTCCTATAGATAGAGCAGGTTGTAAACAATCTTTTGTAGAATCTGCGATTGGAGATTTGGACTGCTTTGAGGCCTACTGTAGTAAAGGAAATAACTTCATCTAAAAACCAAACGGAGGTATTCAAAGACAATTCTTAGTGATCATTGGATTGAACTAACAGAGCTGAACATTAGTTTAGATGGCGCAGTTTCCAAACACAATTTCTGTAGAATCTGCAAGTGGATATTTGGACTTCTCTGAGGATTTCGTTGGAAACGGGATAAACTTCCCAGAACTACACGGAAGCATTCTGAGAAACTTCTTTGTGATGTTTGCATTCAACTCACAGAGTTGAACCTTGCTTTCATAGTTCAGCTTTCAAACACTCTTTTTGTAGAATCTGCAAGTGGATATTTGGACCACTTTGTGGCCTTCCTTCGAAACGGGTATATCTTCACATCAAACCTAGACAGAAGCATTCTCAGAATGTTTCCTGTGATGACTGCATTCAACTCACAGAGGTGAACAATCCTGCTGATGGAGCAGTTTTGAAACTCTCTTTCTTTGGATTCTGCAAGTGGATATGTGGACCTCTGTGTAGATTTCGTTGGAAACGGGTTCATCTTCACAGAAAAACTAAACAGGAGCATTGTCAGAAACTGCTTTGTGATGTTTGTGTTCCACTTCAGGAATTGAACTTTCCTCTTGACAGAGCAGCTCTGAAACCCTCTTTTTCTAGAATCTGCAAGTGGACATTTGGAGGGCTTTGAGGCCTGTGGTGGAAAAGGAAAATCTTCACATAAAAACTAGATGGAAGCATTCTCAGAAACTACTTTGTGATGATTGCATTCGACTCACAGAGTTGAACATTCCTATAGATAGAGCAGGTTGTAAACAATCTTTTTGTAGAATCTGCGATTGGAGATTTGGACTGCTTTGAGGCCTACTGTAGTAAAGGAAATAACTTCATCTAAAAACCAAACGGAAGCATTCACAGACAATTCTTAGTGATCATTGCATTGAACTAACAGAGCTGAACATTCCTGTAGATGGAGCATTTTCCAAAAACACTTTCTGTAGAATCTGCAAGTGGATATTTGGACTTCTCTGAGGATTTCGTTGGAAACGGGATAAACTTCCCAGAACTACACGGAAGCATTGTGAGAAACTTCTTTGTGATGTTTGCATTCAACTCACAGAGTTGAACCTTGCTTTCATAGTTCAGCTTTCAAACACTCTTTTTGTAGAATCTGCAAGTGGATATTTGGACCACTTTGTGGCCTTCCTTCGAAACGGGTATATCTTCACATCAAACCTAGACAGAAGCATTCTCAGAATGTTTCCTGTGATGACTGCATTCAACTCACAGAGGTGAACCATCCTGCTGATGGAGCAGTTTTGAAACTCTCTTTCTTTGGATTCTGCAAGTGGATATGTGGACCTCTGTGAAGATTTCGTTGGAAACGGGTTCATCTTCACAGAAAAACTAAACAGGAGCATTCTCAGAAACTGCTTTGTGATGTTTGTGTTCCACTTCAAGAATTGAACTTTCCTCTTGACAGGGCAGCTCTGAAAACCTCTTTTTCTAGAATCTGCAAGTGGACATTTGGAGGGTTTTGAGGCCTGTGGTGCAAAAGGAAAATCTTCACATAAAAACTAGATGGATAAGCATTGTCAGTAAACTACTTTGTGATGATTGCATTCGACTCACAGAGTTGAACATTCCTATAGATAGAGCAGGTTGTAAACAATCTTTTTGTAGAATCTGCGATTGGAGATTTGGAATGCTTTGAGGCCTACTGTAGTAAAGGAAATAACTTCATCTAAAAACCAAACGGAAGCATTCACAGACAATTCTTAGTGATCATTGGATTGAACTAACAGAGCTGAACATTCCTTTAGATGGAGCAGTTTCCAAACCCACTTTCTGTAGAATCTGCAAGTGGATATTTGGACTTCTCTGAGGATTTCGTTGGAAACGGGATAAACTTCCCAGAACTACACGGAAGCATTGTGAGAAACTTCTTTGTGATGTTTGCATTCAACTCACAGAGTTGAACCTTGCTTTCATAGTTCAGCTTTCAAACACTCTTTTTGTAGAATCTGCAAGTGGATATTTGGACCACTTTGTGGCCTTCCTTCGAAACGGGTATATCTTCACATCAAACCTAGACAGAAGCATTCTCAGAATGTTTCCTGTGATGACTGCATTCAACTCACAGAGGTGAACAATCCTGCTGATGGAGCAGTTTTGAAACTCTCTTTCTTTGGATTCTGCAAGTGGATATGTGGACCTCTGTGAAGATTTCGTTGGAAACGGGTTCATCTTCACAGAAAAACTAAACAGAAGCATTCTCAGAAACTGCTTTGTGATGTTTGTGTTCCACTTCAGGAATTGTACTTTCCTCTTGACAGAGCAGCTCTGAAACCCTCTTTTTCTAGAATCTGCAAGTGGACATTTGGAGGGCTTTGAGGCCTGTGGTGGAAAAGGAAAATCTTCACATAAAAACTAGATGGAAGCATTCTCAGAAACTACTTTGTGATGATTGCATTCGACTCACAGAGTTGAACATTCCTATAGATAGAGCAGGTTGTAAACAATCTTTTTGTAGAATCTGCGATTGGAGATTTGGATTGCTTTGAGGCCTACTGTAGTAAAGGAAATAACTTCATCTAAAAACCAAACGGAAGCATTCACAGACAATTCTTAGTGATCATTGCATTGAACTAACAGAGCTGAACATTCCTTTAGATGGCGCAGTTTCCAAACACACTTTCTGTAGAATCTGCAAGTGGATATTTGGACCTCTCTGAGGATTTCGTTGGAAACGGGATAAACTTCCCAGAACTACACGGAAGCATGCTGAGAAACTTCTTTGTGATGTTTGCATTCAACTCACAGAGTTGAACCTTGCTTTCATAGTTCAGCTTTCAAACACTCTTTTTGTAGAATCTGCAAGTGGATATTTGGACCACTTTGTGGCCTTCCTTCGAAACGGGTATATCTTCACATCAAACCTAGACAGAAGCATTCTCAGAATGTTTCCTGTGATGACTGCATTCAACTCACAGAGGTGAACAATCCTGCTGATGGAGCAGTTTTGAAACTCTCTTTCTTTGGATTCTGCAAGTGGATATGTGGACCTCTGTGAAGATTTCGTTGGAAACGGGTTCATCTTCACAGAAAAACTAAACAGAAGCATTCTCAGAAACTGCTTTGTGATGTTTGTGTTCCACTTCAAGAATTGAAATTTCCTCTTGACAGAGCAGCTCTGAAACCCTCTTTTTCTAGAATCTGCAAGTGGACATTTGGAGGGATTTGAGGCCTGTGGTGGAAAAGGAAAATCTTCACATAAAAACTAGATGGAAGCATTCTCAGAAACTACTTTGTGATGATTGCATTCGACTCACAGAGTTGAACATTCCTATAGATAGTGCAGGTTGTAAACAATCTTTTTGTAGAATCTGCGATTGGAGATTTGGACTGCTTTGAGGCCTACTGTAGTAAAGGAAAGAACTTCATCTAAAAACCAAACGGAAGCATTCACAGACAATTCTTAGTGATCATTGGATTGAACTAACAGAGCTGAACATTCCTTTAGATGGAGCAGTTTCCAAACCCACTTTCTGTAGAATCTGCAAGTGGATATTTGGACTTCTCTGAGGATTTCGTTGGAAACGGGATAAACTTCCCAGAACTACACGGAAGCATTCTGAGAAACTTCTTTGTGATGTTTGCATTCAACTCACAGAGTTGAACCTTGCTTTCATAGTTCAGCTTTCAAACACTCTTTTTGTAGAATCTGCAAGTGGATATTTGGACCACTTTGTGGCCTTCCTTCGAAAAGGGTATATCTTCACATCAAACCTAGACAGAAGCATTCTCAGAATGTTTCCTGTGATGACTGCATTCAACTCACAGAGGTGAACAATCCTGTTGATGGAGCAGTTTTGAAACTCTCTTTCTTTGGATTCTGCAAGTTGATATGTGGACCTCTGTGAAGATTTCGTTGGAAACGGGTTCATCTTCACAGAAAAACTAAACAGAAGCATTCTCAGAAACTGCTTTGTGATGTTTGTGTTCCACTTCAAGAATTGAACTTTCCTCTTGACAGAGCAGCTCTGAAACCCTCTTTTTCTAGAATCTGCAAGTGGACATTTGGAGGGCTTTGAGGCCTGTGGTGGAAAAGGAAAATCTTCACATAAAAACTAGATGGAAGCATTCTCAGAAACTACTTTGTGATGACTGCATTCGACTCACAGAGTTGAACATTCCTATAGATAGAGCAGGTTGTAAACAATCTTTTTGTAGAGTCTGCGATTGGAGATTTGGACTGCTTTGAGGCCTACTGTAGTAAAGGAAATAACTTCATCTAAAAACCAAACGGAAGCATTCACAGACAATTCTTAGTGATCATTGGATTGAACTAACAGAGCTGAACATTCCTTTAGATGGCGCAGTTTCCAAACACACTTTCTGTAGAATCTGCAAGTGGATATTTGGACCTCTCTGAGGATTTCGTTGGAAACGGGATAAACTTCCCAGAACTACACGGAAGCATTCTGAGAAATTTCTTTGTGATGTTTGCGTTCAACTCACAGAGTTGAACCTTGCTTTCATAGTTCAGCTTTCAAACACTCTTTTTGTAGAATCTGCACGTGGATATTTGGACCACTTTGTGGCCTTCCTTCGAAACGGGTATATCTTCACATCAAACCTAGACAGAAGCATTCTCAGAATGTTTCCTGTGATGACTGCATTCAACTCACAGAGGTGAACAATCCTCCTGATGGAGCAGTTTTGAAACTCTCTTTCTTTGGATTCTGCAAGTGGATATGTGGACCTCTGTGAAGATTTCGTTGGAAACGGGTTCATCTTCACAGAAAAACTAAACAGAAGCATTCTCAGAAACTGCTTTGTGATGTTTGTGTTCCACTTCAAGAATTGAACTTTCCTCTTGACAGAGCAGCTCTGAAACCCTCTTTTTCTAGAATCTGCAAGTGGACATTTGGAGGGCTTTGAGGCCTGTGGTGGAAAAGGAAAATCTTCCCATAAAAACTAGATGGAAGCATTCTCAGAAACTACTTTGTGATGATTGCATTCGACTCACAGAGTTGAACATTCCTATACATAGAGCAGGTTGTAAACAATCTTTTTGTAGAATCTGCGATTGGAGATTTGGACTGCTTTGAGGCCTACTGTAGTAAAGGAAATAACTTCATCTAAAAACCAAACGGAAGCATTCACAGACAATTCTTAGTGATCATTGGATTGAACTAACAGAGCTGAACATTCCTTTAGATGGAGCAGTTTCCAAACACACTTTCTGTAGAATCTGCAAGTGGATATTTGGACTTCTCTGAGGATTTCGTTGGAAACGGGATAAACTTCCCAGAACTACACGGAAGCATTGGGAGAAACTTCTTTGTGATGTTTGCATTCAACTCACAGAGTTGAACCTTGCTTTCATAGTTCAGCTTTCAAACACTCTTTTTGTAGAATCTGCAAGTGGATATTTGGACCACTTTGTGGCCTTCCTTCGAAACGGGTATATCTTCACATCAAACCTAGACAGAAGCATTCTCAGAATGTTTCCTGTGATGACTGCATTCAACTCACAGAGGTGAACAATCCTGCTGATGGAGCAGTTTTGAAACTCTCTTTCTTTGGATTCTGCAAGTGGATATGTGGACCTCTGTGAAGATTTCGTTGGAAACGGGTTCATCTTCACAGAAAAACTAAACAGAAGCATTCTCAGAAACTGCTTTGTGATGTTTGTGTTCCACTTCAGGAATTGAACTTTCCTCTTGACAGAGCAGCTCTGAAACCCTCTTTTTCTAGAATCTGCAAGTGGACATTTGGAGGGCTTTGAGGCCTGTGGTGGAAAAGTAAAATCTTCACATAAAAACTAGATGGAAGCATTCTCAGAAACTACTTTGTGATGATTGCATTCGACTCACAGAGTTGAACATTCCTATAGATAGAGCAGGTTGTAAACAATCTTTTTGTAGAATCTGCGATTGGAGATTTGGACTGCTTTGAGGCCTACTGTAGTAAAGGAAATAACTTCATCTAAAAACCAAAATGGAAGCATTCACAGACAATTCTTAGTGATCATTGCATTGAACTAACAGAGCTGAACATTCCTTTAGATGGCGCAGTTTCCAAACACACTTTCTGTAGAATCTGCAAGTGGATATTTGGACCTCTCTGAGGATTTCGTTGGAAACGGGATAAACTTCCCAGAACTACACGGAAGCATTCTGAGAAACTTCTTTGTGATGTTTGCATTCAACTCACAGAGTTGAACCTTGCTTTCATAGTTCAGCTTTCAAACACTCTTTTTGTAGAATCTGCAAGTGGATATTTGGACCACTTTGTGGCCTTCCTTCGAAACGGGTATATCTTCACATCACACCTAGACAGAAGCATTCTCAGAATGTTTCCTGTGATGACTGCATTCAACTCACAGAGGTGAACAATCCTGCTGATGGAGCAGTTTTGAAACTCTCTTTCTTTGGATTCTGCAAGTGGATATGTGGACCTCTGTGTAGATTTCGTTGGAAACGGGTTCATCTTCACAGAAAAACTAAACAGAAGCATTCTCAGAAACTGCTTTGTGATGTTTGTGTTCCACTTCAAGAATTGAACTTTCCTCTTGACAGAGCAGCTCTGAAACCCTCTTATTCTAGAATCTGCAAGTGGACATTTGGAGGGCTTTGAGGCCTGTGGTGGAAAAGGAAAATCTTCACATAAAAACTAGATGGAAGCATTCTCAGAAACTACTTTGTGATGATTGCATTCGACTCACAGAGTTGAACATTCCTATAGATAGAGCAGGTTGTAAACAATCTTTTTCAAGAATCTGCGATTGGAGATTTGGACTGCTTTGAGGCCTACTGTAGTAAAGGAAATAACTTCATCTAAAACCAAACGGAAGCATTCACAGACAATTCTTAGTGATCATTGGATTGAACTAACAGAGCTGAACATTCCTTTAGATGGAGCAGTTTCCAAACACACTTTCTGTAGAATCTGCAAGTGGATATTTGGACCTCTCTGAGGATTTCTTTGGAAACGGGATAAACTTCCCAGAACTACACGGAAGTATTGTGAGAAACTTCTTTGTGATGTTTGCATTCAACTCACAGAGTTGAACCTTGCTTTCATAGTTCAGCTTTCAAACACTCTTTTTGTAGAATCTGCAAGTGGATATTTGGACCACTTTTTGGCCTTCCTTCGAAACGGATATATCTTCACATCTAACCTAGACAGAAGCATTCTCAGAATGTTTCCTGTGATGACTGCATTCAACTCACAGAGGTGAACAATCCTGCTGATGGAGCAGTTTTGAAACTCTCTTTCTTTGGATTCTGCAAGTGGATATGTGGACCTCTGTGAAGATTTCGTTGGAAACGGGTTCATCTTCACAGAAAAACTAAACAGGAGCATTCTCAGAAACTGCTTTGTGATGTTTGTGTTCCACTTCAGGAATTGAACTTTCCTCTTGACAGAGCAGCTCTGAAACCCTCTTATTCTAGAATCTGCAAGTGGACATTTGGAGGGCTTTGAGGCCTGTGGTGGAAAAGGAAAATCTTCACATAAAAACTAGATGGAAGCATTCTCAGAAACTACTTTGTGATGATTGCATTTGACTCACAGAGTTGAACATTCCTATACATAGAGCAGGTTGTAAACAATCTTTTTGTAGAATCTGCGATTGGAGATTTGGACTGCTTTGAGGCCTACTGTAGTAAAGGAAATAACTTCATCTAAAAACCAAACGGAAGCATTCACAGACAATTCTTAGTGATCATTGCATTGAACTAACAGAGCTGAACATTCCTTTAGATGGAACATTTTCCAAACACACTTTCTGTAGAATCTGCAAGTGGATATTTGGACTTCTCTGAGGATTTCGTTGGAAACGGGATAAACTTCCCAGAACTACACGGAAGCATTGTGAGAAACTTCTTTGTGATGTTTGCATTCAACTCACAGAGTTGAACCTTGCTTTCATAGTTCAGCTTTCAAACACTCTTTTTGTAGAATCTGCAAGTGGATATTTGGACCACTTTGTGGCCTTCCTTCGAAACGGGTATATCTTCACATCAAACCTAGACAGAAGCATTCTCAGAATGTTTCCTGTGATGACTGCATTCAACTCACAGAGGTGAACAATCCTGCTTATGGAGCAGTTTTGAAACTCTCTTTCTTTGGATTCTGCAAGTGGATATGTGGACCTCTGTGAAGATTTCGTTGGAAACAGGTTCATCTTCACAGAAAAACTAAACAGGAGCATTCTCAGAAACTGCTTTGTGATGTTTGTGTTCCACTTCAAGAATTGAACTTTCCTCTTGACAGAGCAGCTCTGAAACCCTCTTTTTCTAGAATCTGCAAGTGGACATTTGGAGGGCTTTGAGGCCTGTGGTGGAAAAGGAAAATCTTCCCATAAAAACTAGATGGAAGCATTCTCAGAAACTACTTTGTGATGATTGCATTCGACTCACAGAGTTGAACATTCCTATAGATAGAGCAGGTTGTAAACAATCTTTTTGTAGAATCTGCGATTGGAGATTTGGACTGCTTTGAGGCCTACTGTAGTAAAGGAAATAACTTCATCTAAAAACCAAACGGAAGCATTCACAGACAATTCTTAGTGATCATTGCATTGAACTAACAGAGCTGAACATTCCTTTAGATGGCGCAGTTTCCAAACACACTTTCTGTAGAATCTGCAAGTGGATATTTGGACTTCTCTGAGGATTTCGTTGGAAACGGGATAAACTTCCCAGAACTACACGGAAGCATTCTGAGAAACTTCTTTGTGATGTTTGCATTCAACTCACAGAGTTGAACCTTGCTTTCATAGTTCAGCTTTCAAACACTCTTTTTGTAGAATCTGCAAGTGGATATTTGGACCACTTTGTGGCCTTCCTTCGAAACGGGTATATCTTCACATCAAACCTAGACAGAAGCATTCTCAGAATGTTTCCTGTGATGACTGCATTCAACTCACAGAGGTGAACAATCCTGCTGATGGAGCAGTTTTGAAACTCTCTTTCTTTGGATTCTGCAAGTGGATATGTGGACCTCTGTGAAGATTTCGTTGGAAACGGGTTCATCTTCACAGAAAAACTAAACAGAAGCATTCTCAGAAACTGCTTTGTGATGTTTGTGTTCCACTTCAGGAATTGAACTTTCCTCTTGACAGAGCAGCTCTGAAACCCTCTTATTCTAGAATCTGCAAGTGGACATTTGGAGGGCTTTGAGGCCTGTGGTGGAAAAGGAAAATCTTCACATAAAAACTAGATGGAAGCATTCTCAGAAACTACTTTGTGATGATTGCATTCGACTCACAGAGTTGAACATTCCTATAGATAGAGCAGGTTGTAAACAATCTTTTTGTAGAATCTGCGATTGGAGATTTGGACTGCTTTGAGGCCTACTGTAGTAAAGGAAATAACTTCATCTAAAAACCAAACGGAAGCATTCACAGACAATTCTTAGTGATCATTGGATTGAACTAACAGAGCTGAACATTCCTGTAGATGGAGCAGTTTCCAAACACACTTTCTGTAGAATCTGCAAGTGGATATTTGGACTTCTCTGAGGATTTCGTTGGAAACGGGATAAACTTCCCAGAACTACACGGAAGCATTGTGAGAAACTTCTTTGTGATGTTTGCATTCAACTCACAGAGTTGAACCTTGCTTTCATAGTTCAGCTTTCAAACACTCTTTTTGTAGAATCTGCAAGTGGATATTTGGACCACTTTGTGGCCTTCCTTCGAAACGGGTATATCTTCACATCAAACCTAGACAGAAGCATTCTCAGAATGTTTCCTGTGATGACTGCATTCAACTCACAGATGTGAACAATCCTGCTCATGGAGCAGTTTTGAAACTCTCTTTCTTTGGATTCTGCAAGTGGATATGTGGACCTCTGTGTAGATTTCGTTGGAAACGGGTTCATCTTCACAGAAAAACTAAACAGAAGCATTCTCAGAAACTGCTTTGTGATGTTTGTGTTCCACTTCAGGAATTGAACTTTCCTCTTGACAGAGCAGCTCTGAAACCCTCTTATTCTAGAATCTGCAAGTGGACATTTGGAGGGCTTTGAGGCCTGTGGTGGAAAAGGAAAATCTTCACATAAAAACTAGATGGAAGCATTCTCAGAAACTACTTTGTGATGATTGCATTCGACTCACAGAGTTGAACATTCCTATAGATAGAGCAGGTTGTAAACAATCTTTTTGTAGAATCTGCGATTGGAGATTTGGACTGCTTTGAGGCCTACTGTAGTAAAGGAAATAACTTCATCTAAAAACCAAACGGAAGCATTCACAGACAATTCTTAGTGATCATTGGATTGAACTAACAGAGCTGAACATTCCTTTAGATGGAGCAGTTTCCAAACCCACTTTCTGTAGAATCTGCCAGTGGATATTTGGACTTCTCTGAGGATTTCGTTGGAAACGGGATAAACTTCCCAGAACTACACGGAAGCATTCTGAGAAACTTCTTTGTGATGTTTGCATTCAACTCACAGAGTTGAACCTTGCTTTCATAGTTCAGCTTTCAAACACTCTTTTTGTAGAATCTGCAAGTGGATATTTGGACCACTTTGTGGCCTTCCTTCGAAACGGGTATATCTTCACATCAAACCTAGACAGAAGCATTCTCAGAATGTTTCCTGTGATGACTGCATTCAACTCACAGAGGTGAACAATCCTGCTGATGGAGCAGTTTTGAAACTCTCTTTCTTTGGATTCTGCAAGTGGATATGTGGACCTCTGTGAAGATTTCGTTGGAAACGGGTTCATCTTCACAGAAAAACTAAACAGAAGCATTCTCAGAAACTGCTTTGTGATGTTTGTGTTCCACTTCAGGAATTGAACTTTCCTCTTGACAGAGCAGCTCTGAAACCCTCTTATTCTAGAATCTGCAAGTGGACATTTGGAGGGCTTTGAGGCCTGTGGTGGAAAAGGAAAATCTTCACATAAAAACTAGATGGAAGCATTCTCAGAAACTACTTTGTGATGATTGCATTCGACTCACAGAGTTGAACATTCCTATAGATAGAGCAGGTTGTAAACAATCTTTTTGTAGAATCTGCGATTGGAGATTTGGACTGCTTTGAGGCCTACTGTAGTAAAGGAAATAACTTCATCTAAAAACCAAACGGAAGCATTCACAGACAATTCTTAGTGATCATTGCATTGAACTAACAGAGCTGAACATTCCTTTAGATGGCGCAGTTTCCAAACACACTTTCTGTAGAATCTGCAAGTGGATATTTGGACTTCTCTGAGGATTTCGTTGGAAACGGGATAAACTTCCCAGAACTACACGGAAGCATTCTGAGAAACTTCTTTGTGATGTTTGCATTCAACTCACAGAGTTGAACCTTGCTTTCATAGTTCAGCTTTCAAACACTCTTTTTGTAGAATCTGCAAGTGGATATTTGGACCACTTTGTGGCCTTCCTTCGAAACGGGTATATCTTCACATCAAACCTAGACAGAAGCATTCTCAGAATGTTTCCTGTGATGACTGCATTCAACTCACAGAGGTGAACAATCCTGCTGATGGAGCAGTTTTGAAACTCTCTTTCTTTGGATTCTGCAAGTGGATATGTGGACCTCTGTGAAGATTTCGTTGGAAACGGGTTCATCTTCACAGAAAAACTAAACAGAAGCATTCTCAGAAACTGCTTTGTGATGTTTGTGTTCCACTTCAAGAATTGAACTTTCCTCTTGACAGAGCAGCTCTGAAACCCTCTTTTTCTAGAATCTGCAAGTGGACATTTGGAGGGCTTTGAGGCCTGTGGTGGAAAAGGAAAATCTTCACATAAAAACTAGATGGAAGCATTCTCAGAAACTACTTTGTGATGATTGCATTCGACTCACAGAGTTGAACATTCCTATAGATAGAGCAGGTTGTAAACAATGTTTTTGTAGAATCTGCGATTGGAGATTTGGACTGCTTTGAGGCCTACTGTAGTAAAGGAAATAACTTCATCTAAAAACCAAACGGAAGCATTCACAGACAATTCTTAGTGATCATTGGATTGAACTAACAGAGCTGAACATTCCTTTAGGTGGAGCAGTTTCCAAACACACTTTCTGTAGAATCTGCAAGTGGATATTTGGACTTCTCTGAGGATTTCGTTGGAAACGGGATAAACTTCCCAGAACTACACGGAAGCATTCTGAGAAACTTCTTTGTGATGTTTGCATTCAACTCACAGAGTTGAACCTTGCTTTCATAGTTCAGCTTTCAAACACTCTTTTTGTAGAATCTGCAAGTGGATATTTGGACCACTTTGTGGCCTTCCTTCGAAACGGGTATATCTTCACATCAAACCTAGACAGAAGCATTCTCAGAATGTTTCCTGTGATGACTGCATTCAACTCACAGAGGTGAACAATCCTGCTGATGGAGCAGTTTTGAAACTCTCTTTCTTTGGATTCTGCAAGTGGATATGTGGACCTCTGTGAAGATTTCGTTGGAAACGGGTTCATCTTCACAGAAAAACTAAACAGGAGCATTCTCAGAAACTGCTTTGTGATGTTTGTGTTCCACATCAAGAATTGAACTTTCCTCTTGACAGAGCAGCTCTGAAACCCTCTTTTTCTAGAATCTGCAAGTGGACATTTGGAGGGCTTTGAGGCCTGTGGTGGAAAAGGAAAATCTTCACATAAAAACTAGATGGAAGCATTCTCAGAAACTACTTTGTGATGATTGCATTCGACTCACAGAGTTGAACATTCCTATAGATAGAGCAGGTTGTAAACAATGTTTTTGTAGAATCTGCGATTGGAGATTTGGATTGCTTTGAGGCCTACTGTAGTAAAGGAAATAACTTCATCTAAAAACCAAACGGAAGCATTCACAGACAATTCTTAGTGATCATTGCATTGAACTAACAGAGCTGAACATTCCTTTAGATGGAGCAGTTGCCAAACCCACTTTCTGTAGAATCTGCAAGTGGATATTTGGACTTCTCTGAGGATTTCGTTGGAAACGGGATAAACTTCCCAGAACTACACGGAAGCATTGTGAGAAACTTCTTTGTGATGTTTGCATTCAACTCACAGAGTTGAACCTTGCTTTCATAGTTCAGCTTTCAAACACTCTTTTTGTAGAATCTGCAAGTGGATATTTGGACCACTTTGTGGCCTTCCTTTGAAAAGGGTATATCTTCACATCAAACCTAGACAGAAGCATTCTCAGAATGTTTCCTGTGATGACTGCATTCAACTCACAGAGGTGAACAATTCTGATGATGGAGCAGTTTTGAAACTCTCTTTCTTTGTATTCTGCAAGTGGATATGTGGACCTCTTTGAGGATTTCGTTGGAAACGGGTTCTTCTTCACAGAAAAACTAAACAGAAGCATTCTCAGAAACTGCTTTGTGATGTTTGTGTTCCACTTCAGGAATTGAACTTTCCTCTTGACAGAGCAGCTCTGAAACCCTCTTTTTCTAGAATCTGCAAGTGGACATTTGGAGGGCTTTGAGGCCTGTGGTGGAAAAGGAAAATCTTCACATAAAAACTAGATGGAAGCATTCTCAGAAACTACTTTGTGATGATTGCATTCGACTCACAGAGTTGAACATTCCTATAGATAGAGCAGGTTGTAAACAGTCTTTTTGTAGAATCTGCGATTGGAGATTTGGACTGCTTTGAGGCCTACTGTAGTAAAGGAAATAACTTCATCTAAAAACCAAACGGAAGCATTCACAGACAATTCTTAGTGATCATTGGATTGAACTAACAGAGCTGAACATTCCCTTAGATGGCGCAGTTTCCAAACACACTTTCTGTAGAATCTGCAAGTGGATATTTGGACCTCTCTGAGGATTTCGTTGGAAACGGGATAAACTTCCCAGAACTACACGGAAGCATTCTGAGAAACTTCTTTGTGATGTTTGCATTCAACTCACAGAGTTGAACCTTGCTTTCATAGTTCAGCTTTCAAACACTCTTTTTGTAGAATCTGCAAGTGGATATTTGGACCACTTTGTGGCCTTCCTTCGAAACGGGTATATCTTCACATCAAACCTAGACAGAAGCATTCTCAGAATGTTTCCTGTGATGACTGCATTCAACTCACAGAGGTGAACAATCCTGTTGATGGAGCAGTTTTGAAACTCTCTTTCTTTGGATTCTGCAAGTGGATATGTGGACCTCTGTGAAGATTTCGTTGGAAACGGGTTCATCTTCACAGAAAAACTAAACAGGAGCATTCTCAGAAACTGCTTTGTGATGTTTGCGTTCCACTTCAGGAATTGAACTTTCCTCTTGACAGAGCAGCTCTGAAACCCTCTTTTTCTAGAATCTGCAAGTGGACATTTGGAGGGCTTTGAGGCCTGTGGTGGAAAAGGAAAATCTTCACATAAAAACTAGATGGAAGCATTCTCAGAAACTACTTTGTGATGATTGCATTCGACTCACAGAGTTGAACATTCCTATAGATAGAGCAGGTTGTAAACAATCTTTTTGTAGAATCTGCGATTGGAGATTTGGACTGCTTTGAGGCCTACTGTAGTAAAGGAAATAACTTCATCTAAAAACCAAACGGAAGCATTCACAGACAATTCTTAGTGATCATTGCATTGAACTAACAGAGCTGAACATTCCTTTAGATGGCGCAGTTTCCAAACACACTTTCTGTAGAATCTGCAAGTGGATATTTGGACTTCTCTGAGGATTTCGTTGGAAACGGGATAAACTTCCCAGAACTACACGGAAGCATTCTGAGAAACTTCTTTGTGATGTTTGCATTCAACTCACAGAGTTGAACCTTGCTTTCATAGTTCAGCTTTCAAACACTCTTTTTGTAGAATCTGCAAGTGGATATTTGGACCACTTTGTGGCCTTCCTTCGAAACGGGTATATCTTCACATCAAACCTAGACAGAAGCATTCTCAGAATGTTTCCTGTGATGACTGCATTCAACTCACAGAGGTGAACAATCCTGTTGATGGAGCAGTTTTGAAACTCTCTTTCTTTGGATTCTGCAAGTTGATATGTGGACCTCTGTGAAGATTTCGTTGGAAACGGGTTCATCTTCACAGAAAAACTAAACAGAAGCATTCTCAGAAACTGCTTTGTGATGTTTGTGTTCCACTTCAAGAATTGAACTTTCCTCTTGACAGAGCAGCTCTGAAACCCTCTTTTTCTAGAATCTGCAAGTGGACATTTGGAGGGCTTTGAGGCCTGTGGTGGAAAAGGAAAATCTTCACATAAAAACTAGATGGAAGCATTCTCAGAAACTACTTTGTGATGACTGCATTCGACTCACAGAGTTGAACATTCCTATAGATAGAGCAGGTTGTAAACAATCTTTTTGTAGAGTCTGCGATTGGAGATTTGGACTGCTTTGAGGCCTACTGTAGTAAAGGAAATAACTTCATCTAAAAACCAAACGGAAGCATTCACAGACAATTCTTAGTGATCATTGGATTGAACTAACAGAGCTGAACATTCCCTTAGATGGCGCAGTTTCCAAACACACTTTCTGTAGAATCTGCAAGTGGATATTTGGACCTCTCTGAGGATTTCGTTGGAAACGGGATAAACTTCCCAGAACTACACGGAAGCATTCTGAGAAACTTCTTTGTGATGTTTGCATTCAACTCACAGAGTTGAACCTTGCTTTCATAGTTCAGCTTTCAAACACTCTTTTTGTAGAATCTGCAAGTGGATATTTGGACCACTTTCTGGCCTTCCTTCGAAACGGGTATATCTTCACATCAAACCTAGACAGAAGCATTCTCAGAATGTTTCCTGTGATGACTGCATTCAACTCACAGAGGTGAACAATCCTGCTGATGGAGCAGTTTTGAAACTCTCTTTCTTTGGATTCTGCAAGTGGATATGTGGACCTCTGTGAAGATTTCGTTGGAAACGGGTTCATCTTCACAGAAAAACTAAACAGAAGCATTCTCAGAAACTGCTTTGTGATGTTTGTGTTCCACTCCAGGAATTGAACTTTCCTCTTGACAGAGCAGCTCTGAAACCCTCTTATTCTAGAATCTGCAAGTGGACATTTGGAGGGCTTTGAGGCCTGTGGTGGAAAAGGAAAATCTTCACATAAAAACTAGATGGAAGCATCTCAGAAACTACTTTGTGATGATTGCATTCGACTCACAGAGTTGAACATTCCTATAGATAGAGCAGGTTGTAAACAATCTTTTTGTAGAATCTGCGATTGGAGATTTGGACTGCTTTGAGGCCTACTGTAGTAAAGGAAATAACTTCATCTAAAAACCAAACGGAAGCATTCACAGACAATTCTTAGTGATCATTGCATTGAACTAACAGAGCTGAACATTCCTTTAGATGGCGCAGTTTCCAAACACACTTTCTGTAGAATCTGCAAGTGGATATTTGGACTTCTCTGAGGATTTCGTTGGAAACGGGATAAACTTCCCAGAACTACACGGAAGCATTCTGAGAAACTTCTTTGTGATGTTTGCATTCAACTCACAGAGTGGAACCTTGCTTTCTTAGTTCAGCTTTCAAACACTCTTTTTGTAGAATCTGCAAGTGGATATTTGGACCACTTTGTGGCCTTCCTTCGAAACGGGTATATCTTCACATCAAACCTAGACAGAAGCATTCTCAGAATGTTTCCTGTGATGACTGCATTCAACTCACAGAGGTGAACAATCCTGCTGATGGAGCAGTTTTGAAACTCTCTTTCTTTGGATTCTGCAAGTGGATATGTGGACCTCTGTGAAGATTTCGTTGGAAACGGGTTCATCTTCACAGAAAAACTAAACAGAAGCATTCTCAGAAACTGCTTTGTGATGTTTGTGTTCCACTTCAGGAATTGAACTTTCCTCTTGACAGAGCAGCTCTGAAACCCTCTTTTTCTAGAATCTGCAAGTGGACATTTGGAGGGCTTTGAGGCCTGTGGTGGAAAAGGAAAATCTTCACATAAAAACTAGATGGAAGCATTCTCAGAAACTACTTTGTGATGATTGCATTCGACTCACAGAGTTGAACATTCCTATAGATAGAGCAGGTTGTAAACAATCTTTTTGTAGAATCTGCGATTGGAGATTTGGACTGCTTTGAGGCCTACTGTAGTAAAGGAAATAACTTCATCTAAAAACCAAACGGAAGCATTCACAGACAATTCTTAGTGATCATTGCATTGAACTAACAGAGCTGAACATTCCTTTAGATGGAGCAGTTTCCAAACACACTTTCTGTAGAATCTGCAAGTGGATATTTGGACTTCTCTGAGGATTTCGTTGGAAACGGGATAAACTTCCCAGAACTACAGGGAAGCATTCTGAGAAACTTCTTTGTGATGTTTGCATTCAACTCACAGAGTTGAACCTTGCTTTCATAGTTCAGCTTTCAAACACTCTTTTTGTAGAATCTGCAAGTGGATATTTGGACCACTTTGTGGCCTTCCTTCGAAACGGGTATATCTTCACATCAAACCTAGACAGAAGCATTCTCAGAATGTTTCCTGTGATGACTGCATTCAACTCACAGAGGTGAAGAATCCTGCTGATGGAGCAGTTTTGAAACTCTCTTTCTTTGGATTCTGCAAGCGGATATGTGGACCTCTGTGAAGATTTCGTTGGAAACGGGTTCATCTTCACAGAAAAACTAAACAGAAGCATTCTCAGAAACTGCTTTGTGATGTTTGTGTTCCACTTCAGGAATTGAACTTTCCTCTTGACAGAGCAGCTCTGAAACCCTCTTATTCTAGAATCTGCAAGTGGACATTTGGAGGGCTTTGAGGCCTGTGGTGGAAAAGGAAAATCTTCACATAAAAACTAGATGGAAGCATTCTCAGAAAGTACTTTGTGATGATTGCATTCGACTCACAGAGTTGAACATTCCTATAGATAGAGCAGGTTGTAAACAATCTTTTTGTATAATCTGCGATTGGAGATTTGGACTGCTTTGAGGCCTACTGTAGTAAAGGAAATAACTTCATCTAAAAACCAAACGGAAGCATTCACAGACAATTCTTAGTGATCATTGGATTGAACTAACAAAGCTGAACATTCCCTTAGATGGCGCAGTTTCCAAACACACTTTCTGTAGAATCTGCAAGTGGATATTTGGACCTCTCTGAGGATTTCGTTGGAAACGGGATAAACTTCCCAGAACTACACGGAAGCATTCTGAGAAACTTCTTTGCGATGTTTGCATTCAACTCACAGAGTTGAACCTTGCTTTCATAGTTCAGCTTTCAAACACTCTTTTTGTAGAATCTGCAAGGGGATATTTGGACCACTTTGTGGCCTTCCTTCGAAACGGTTATATCTTCACATCAAACCTAGACAGAAGCATTCTCAGAATGTTTCCTGTGATGACTGCATTCAACTCACAGAGGTGAACAATCCTGCTGATGGAGCAGTTTTGAAACTCTCTTTCTTTGGATTCTGCAAGTGGATATGTGGACCTCTGTGAAGATTTCGTTGGAAACGGGTTCATCTTCACAGAAAAACTAAACAGAAACATTCTCAGAAACTGCTTTGTGATGTTTGTGTTCCACTTCAAGAATTGAACTTTCCTCTTGACAGAGCAGCTCTGAAACCCTCTTTTTCTAGAATCTGCAAGTGGACATTTGGAGGGCTTTGAGGCCTGTGGTGGAAAAGGAAAATCTTCACATAAAAACTAGATGGAAGCATTCTCAGTAAACTACTTTGTGATGATTGCATTCGACTCACAGAGTTGAACATTCCTATAGATAGAGCAGGTTGTAAACAATCTTTTTGTAGAATCTGCGATTGGAGATTTGGAGTGCTTTGGGGCCTACTGTAGTAAAGGAAAAAACTTCATCTAAAAACCAAACGGAAGCATTCACAGACAATTCTTAGTGATCATTGGATTGAACTAACAGAGCTGAACATTCCTTTAGATGGAGCAGTTTCCAAACACACTTTCTGTAGAATCTGCAACTGGATATTTGGACTTCTCTGAGGATTTCGTTGGAAACGGGATAAACTTCCCAGAACTACACGGAAGCATTCTGAGAAACTTCTTTGTGATGTTTGCATTCAACTCACAGAGTTGAACCTTGCTTTCATAGTTCAGCTTTCAAACACTCTTTTTGTAGAATCTGCAAGTGGATATTTGGACCACTTTGTGGCCTTCCTTCGAAACGGGTATATCTTCACATCAAACCTAGACAGAAGCATTCTCAGAATGTTTCCTGTGATGACTGCATTCAACTCACAGAGGTGAACAATCCTGCTGATGGAGCAGTTTTGAAACTCTCCTTCTTTGGATTCTGCAAGTGGATATGTGGACCTCTGTGAAGATTTCGTTGGAAACGGGTTCATCTTCACAGAAAAAGAAAACAGAAGCATTCTCAGAAACTGCTTTGTGATGTTTGTGTTCCACTTCAGGAATTGAACTTTCCTCTTGACAGAGCAGCTCTGAAACCCTCTTTTTCTAGAATCTGCAAGTGGACATTTGGAGGGCTTTGAGGCCTGTGGTGGAAAAGGAAAATCTTCACATAAAAACTAGATGGAAGCATTCTCAGAAACTACTTTGTGATGATTGCATTCGACTCACAGAGTTGAACATTCCTATAGATAGAGCAGGTTGTAAACAATCTTTTTGTAGAATCTGCGATTGGAGATTTGGACTGCTTTGAGGCCTACTGTAGTAAAGGAAATAAATTCATCTAAAAACCAAACGGAAGCATTCACAGACAATTCTTAGTGATCATTGGATTGAAGTAACAGAGCTGAACACTCCTTTAGATGGAGCAGTTTCCAAACACACTTTCTGTAGAATCTGCAAGTGGATATTTGGACTTCTCTGAGGATTTCGTTGGAAACGGGATAAACTTCCCAGAACTACACGGAAGCATTCTGAGAAACTTCTTTGTGAAGTTTGCATTCAACACACAGAGTTGAACCTTGCTTTCATAGTTCAGCTTTCAAACACTCTTTTTGTAGAATCTGCAAGTGGATATTTGGACCATTTGTGGTCTTCCTTCGAAACGGGTATATCTTCACATCAAACCTAGACAGAAGCATTCTCAGAATGTTTCCTGTGATGACTGCATTCAACTCACAGAGGTGAACAATCCTGCTGATGGAGCAGTTTTGAAACTCTCCTTCTTTGGATTCTGCAAGTGAATATGTGGTCCTCTGTGAAGATTTCGTTGGAAACGGGTTCATCTTCCCAGAAAAACTAAACAGAAGCATTCTCAGAAACTGCTTTGTGATGTTTGTGTTCCACTTCAGGAATTGAACTTTCCTCTTGACAGAGCAGCTCTGAAACCCTCTTATTCTAGAATCTGCAAGTGGACATTTGGAGGGCTTTGAGGCCTGTGGTGGAAAAGGAAAATCTTCACATAAAAACTAGATGGAAGCATTCTCAGAAACTACTTTGTGATGATTGCATTCGACTCACAGAGTTGAACATTCCTATAGATAGAGCAGGTTGTAAACAATCTTTTTGTAGAATCTGCGATTGGAGATTTGGACTGCTTCGAGGCCTACTGTAGTAAAGGAAATAACTTCATCTAAAAACCAAACGGAAGCATTCACAGACAATTCTTAGTGATCATTGGATTGAACTAACAGAGCTGAACATTCCTTTAGATGGAGCAGTTTCCAAACACACTTTCTGTAGAATCTGCAAGTGGATATTTGGACTTCTCTGAGGATTTCGTTGGAAACGGGATAAACTTCCCAGAACTACACGGAAGCATTCTGAGAAACTTCTTTGTGATGTTTGCATTCAACTCACAGAGTTGAACCTTGCTTTCATAGTTCAGCTTTCAAACACTCTTTTTGTAGAATCTGCAAGTGGATATTTGGACCACTTTGTGGCCTTCCTTCGAAACGGGTATATCTTCACATCAAACCTAGACAGAAGCATTCTCAGAATGTTTCCTGTGATGACTGCATTCAACTCACAGAGGTGAACAATCCTGTTGATGGAGCAGTTTTGAAACTCTCTTTCTTTGGATTCTGCAAGTGGATATGTGGACCTCTGTGAAGATTTCGTTGGAAACGGGTTCATCTTCACAGAAAAACTAAACAGAAGCATTCTCAGAAACTGCTTTGTGATGTTTGTGTTCCACTTCAGGAATTGAACTTTCCTCTTGTCAGAGCAGCTCTAAAACCCTCTTTTTCTAGAATCTGCAAGTGGACATTTGGAGGGCTTTGAGGCCTGTGGTGGAAAAGGAAAATCTTCACATAAAAACTAGATGGAAGCATTCTCAGAAACTACTTTGTGATGATTGCATTCGACTCACAGAGTTGAACATTCCTATAGATAGAGCAGGTTGTAAACAATCTTTTTGTAGAATCTGCGATTGGAGATTTGGACTGCTTTGAGGCCTACTGTAGTAAAGGAAATAACTTCATCTAAAAACCAAACGGAAGCATTCACAGACAATTCTTAGTGATCATTGCATTGAACTAACAGAGCTGAACATTCCTTTAGATGGCGCAGTTTCCAAACCCACTTTCTGTAGAATCTGCAAGTGGATATTTGGACCTCTCTGAGGATTTCGTTGGAAACGGGATAAACTTCCCAGAACTACACGGAAGCATGCTGAGAAACTTATTTGTGATGTTTGCATTCAACTCACAGAGTTGAACCTTGCTTTCATAGTTCAGCTTTCAAACACTCTTTTTGTAGAATCTGCAAGTGGATATTTGGACCACTTTGTGGCCTTCCTTCGAAACGGGTATATCTTCACATCAAACCTAGACAGAAGCATTCTCAGAATGTTTCCTGTGATGACTGCATTCAACTCACAGAGGTGAACAATCCTGCTGATGGAGGAGTTTTGAAACTCTCTTTCTTTGAATTCTGCAAGTGGATATGTGGACCTCTGTGAAGATTTCGTTGGAAACGGGTTCATCTTCACAGAAAAACTAAACAGAAGCATACTCAGAAACTGCTGTGTGATGTCTGTGTTCGACTTCAGGAATTGAACTTTCCTCTTGACAGAGCAGCTCTGAAACCCTCTTATTCTAGAATCTGCAAGTGGACATTTGGAGGGCTTTGAGGCCTGTGGTGGAAAAGGAAAATCTTCACATAAAAACTAGATGGAAGCATTCTCAGGAACTACTTTGTGATGATTGCATTCGACTCACAGAGTTGAACATTCCTATAGATAGAGCAGGTTGTAAACAATCTTTTTGTAGAATCTGCGATTGGAGATTTGGACTGCTTTGAGGCCTACTGTAGTAAAGGAAATAACTTCATCTAAAAACCAAATGGAAGCATTCACAGACAATACTTAGTGATCATTGGATTGAACAAACAGAGCTGAACATTCCTTTAGATAGAGCAGTTTACAAACACACTTTCTGTAGAATCTGCAAGTGGATATTTGGACTTCTCTGAGGATTTCTTTGGAAACGGGATAAACTTCCCAGAACTACACGGAAGCATTCTGAGAAACTTCTTTGTGATGTTTGCATTCAACTCACAGAGTTGAACCTTGCTTTCATAGTTCAGCTTTCAAACACTCTTTTTGTAGAATCTGCAAGTGGATATTTGGACCACTTTGTGGCCTTCCTTCGAAACGGGTATATCTTCACATCAAACCTAGACAGAAGCATTCTCAGAATGTTTCCTGTGATGACTGCATTCAACTCACAGAGGTGAACAATCCTGTTGATGGAACCGTTTTCAAACTCCCTTTCTTTTGATTCTGCAAGTGGATATGTGGACCTCTGTGAAGATTTCGTTGGAAATGGGTTCATCTTCACAGAAAAATTAACAGGAGCATTCTCAGAAACTGCTTTGTGATGTTTGTGTTCCACTTGAAGAATTGAACTTTCCTCTTGACAGAGCAGCTCTGAAACCCTCTTTTTCTAGAATCTGCAAGTGGACATTTGGAGGGCTTTGAGGCCTGTGGTGGAAAAGGAAAATCTTCCCATAAAAACTAGATGGAAGCATTCTCAGAAACTACTTTGTGATGATTGCATTCGACTCACAGAGTTGAACATTCCTATAGATAGAGCAGGTTGTAAACAATCTTTTTGTAGAATCTGCTATTGGAGATTTGGACTGCTTTGAGGCCTACTGTAGTAAAGGAAATAACTTCATCTAAAAACCAAACGGAAGCATTCACAGACAATTCTTAGTGATCATTGGATTGAACTAACAGAGCTGAACATTCCTTTAGATGGAGCAGTTTCCAAACCCACTTTCTGTAGAATCTGCAAGTGGATATTTGGACTTCTCTGAGGATTTCGTTGGAAACGGGATAAACTTCCCAGAACTACACGGAAGCATTCTGAGAAACTTCTTTGTGATGTTTGCATTCAACTCACAGAGTTGAACCTTGCTTTCATAGTTCAGCTTTCAAACACTCTTTTTGTAGAATCTGCAAGTGGATATTTGGACCACTTTGTGGCCTTCCTTCGAAACGGGTATATCTTCACATCAAACCTAGACAGAAGCATTCTCAGAATGTTTCCTGTGATGACTGCATTCAACTCACAGAGGTGAACAATCCTGCTGATGGAGCAGTTTTGAAACTCTCTTTCTTTGGATTCTGCAAGTGGATATGTGGACCTCTGTGAAGATTTCGTTGGAAACGGGTTCATCTTCACAGAAAAACTAAACAGAAGCATTCTCAGAAACTGCTTTGTGATGTTTGTGTTCCACTTCAAGAATTGAACTTTCCTCTTGACAGAGCAGCTCTGAAACCCTCTTTTTCTAGAATCTGCAAGTGGACATTTGGAGGGCTTTGAGGCCTGTGGTGGAAAAGGAAAATCTTCACATAAAAACTAGATGGAAGCATTCTCAGAAACTACTTTGTGATGATTGCATTCGACTCACAGAGTTGAACATTCCTATAGATAGAGCAGGTTGTAAACAATCTTTTTGTAGAATCTGCGATTGGAGATTTGGACTGCTTTGAGGCCTACTGTAGTAAAGGAAATAACTTCATCTAAAACCAAACGGAAGCATTCACAGACAATTCTTAGTGATCATTGGATTGAACTAACAGAGCTGAACATTCCTTTAGATGGAGCAGTTTCCAAACACACTTTCTGTAGAATCTGCAAGTGGATATTTGGACTTCTCTGAGGATTTCGTTGGAAACGGGATAAACTTCCCAGAACTACACGGAAGCATTCTGAGAAACTTCTTTGTGATGTTTGCATTCAACTCACAGAGTTGAACCTTGCTTTCTTAGTTCAGCTTTCAAACACTCTTTTTGTAGAATCTGCAAGTGGATATTTGGACCACTTTGTGGCCTTCCTTCGAAACGGGTATATCTTCACATCAAACCTAGACAGAAGCATTCTCAGAATGTTTCCTGTGATGACTGCATTCAACTCACAGAGGTGAACAATCCTGTTGATGGAGCCGTTTTGAAACTCTCTTTCTTTGGATTCTGCAAGTGGATATGTGGACCTCTGTGAAGATTTGGTTGGAAACGGGTTCATCTTCACAGAAAAACTAAACAGAACCATTCTCAGAAACTGTTTTGTGATGTTTGTGTTCCACTTCAAGAATTCAACTTTCCTCTTGACAGAGCAGCTCTGAAACCCTCTTTTTCTAGAATCTGCAAGTGGACATTTGGAGGGCTTTGAGGCCTGTGGTGGAAAAGGAAAATCTTCACATAAAAACTAGATGGAAGCATTCTCAGAAATTACTTTGTGATGATTGCATTCGACTCACAGAGTTGAACATTCCTATAGATAGAGCAGGTTGTAAACAATCTTTTTGTAGAATCTGCGATTGGAGATTTGGACTGCTTTGAGGCCTACTGTAGTAAAGGAAATAACTTCATCTAAAAACCAAACGGAAGCATTCACAGACAATTCTTAGTGATCATTGGATTGAACTAACAGAGCTGAACATTCCCTTAGATGGCGCAGTTTCCAAACACACTTTCTGTAGAATCTGCAAGTGGATATTTGGACTTCTCTGAGGATTTCGTTGGAAACGGGATAAACTTCCCAGAACTACACGGAAGCATTCTGAGAAACTTCTTTGTGATGTTTGCATTCAACTCACAGAGTTGAACCTTGCTTTCATAGTTCAGCTTTCAAACACTCTTTTTGTAGAATCTGCAAGTGGATATTTGGACCACTTTGTGGCCTTCCTTCGAAACGGGTATATCTTCACATCAAACCTAGACAGAAGCATTCTCAGAATGTTTCCTGTGATGACTGCATTCAACTCACAGAGGTGAACAATCCTTCTGATGGAGCAGTTTTGAAACTCTCTTTCTTTGGATTCTGCAAGTGGATATGTGGACCTCTATGAAGATTTCGTTGGAAACGGGTTCATCTTCACAGAAAAACTAAACAGAAGCATTCTCAGAAACTGCTTTGTGATGTTTGTGTTCCACTTCAGGAATTGAACTTTCCTCTTGACAGAGCAGCTCTGAAACCCTCTTTTTCTAGAATCTGCAAGTGGACATTTGGAGGGCTTTGAGGCCTGTGGTGGAAAAGGAAAATCTTCACATAAAAACTAGATGGAAGCATTCTCAGAAACTACTTTGTGATGATTGCATTCGACTCACAGAGTTGAACATTCCTATAGATAGAGCAGGTTGAAAACAATCTTTTTGTAGAATCTGCGATTGGAGATTTGGACTGCTTTGAGGCCTACTGTAGTAAAGGAAATAACTTCATCTAAAAACCAAACGGAAGCATTCACAGACAATTCTTAGTGATCATTGGATTGAACTAACAGAGCTGAACATTCCTTTAGATGGAGCAGATTCCAAACACACTTTCTGTAGAATCTGCAAGTGGATATTTGGACCTCTCTGAGGATTTCGTTGGAAACGGGATAAACTTCCCAGAACTACACGGAAGCATTCTGAGAAACTTCTTTGTGATGTTTGCATTCAACTCACAGAGTTGAACCTTGCTTTCATAGTTCAGCTTTCAAACACTCTTTTTGTAGAATCTGCAAGTGGATATTTGGACCACTTTGTGGCCTTCCTTCGAAACGGGTATATCTTCACATCAAACCTAGACAGAAGCATTCTCAGAATGTTTCCTGTGATGACTGCATTCAACTCACAGAGGTGAACAATCCTGCTGATGGAGCAGTTTTGAAACTCTCTTTCTTTGGATTCTGCAAGTGGATATGTGGACCTCTGTGAAGATTTCGTTGGAAACGGGTTCATCTTCACAGAAAAACTAAACAGAAACATTCTCAGAAACTGCTTTGTGATGTTTGTGTTCCACTTCAGGAATTGAACTTTCCTCTTGACAGAGCAGCTCTGAAACCCTCTTATTCTAAAATCTGCAAGAGGACATTTGAAGGGCTTTGAGGCCTGTGGTGGAAAAGGAAAATCTTCATATAAAAACTAGATGGAAGCATTCTCAGAAACTACTTTGTGATGATTGCATTCGACTCACAGAGTTGAACATTCCTATAGATAGAGCAGGTTGTAAACAATCTTTTTGTAGAATCTGCGATTGGAGATTTGGACTGCTTTGAGGCCTACTGTAGTAAAGGAAATAACTTCATCTAAAAACCAAACGGAAGCATTCACAGACAATTCTTAGTGATCATTGCATTGAACTAACAGAGCTGAACATTCCTTTAGATGGCGCAGTTTCCAAACACACTTTCTGTAGAATCTGCAAGTGGATATTTGGACCTCTCTGAGGATTTCGTTGGAAACGGGATAAACTTCCCAGAACTACACGGAAGCATTGTGAGAAACTTCTTTGTGATGTTTGCATTCAACTCACAGAGTTGAACCTTGCTTTCATAGTTCAGCTTTCAAACCCTCTTTTTGTAGAATCTGCAAGTGGATATTTGGACCACTTTGTGGCCTTCCTTCGAAACGGGTATATCTTCACATCAAACCTAGACAGAAGCATTCTCAGAATGTTTCCTGTGATGACTGCATTCAACTCACAGAGGTGAACAATCCTGCTGATGGAGCAGTTTTGAAACTCTCTTTCTTTGGATTCTGCAAGTGGATATGTGGACCTCTGTGAAGATTTCGTTGGAAACGGGTTCATCTTCACAGAAAAACTAAACAGAAGCATTCTCAGAAACTGCTTTGTGATGTTTGTGTTCCACTTCAGGAATTGTACTTTCCTCTTGACAGAGCAGCTCTGAAACCCTCTTATTCTAGAATCTGCAAGTGGACATTTGGAGGGCTTTGAGGCCTGTGGTGGAAAACGAAAATCTTCACATAAAAACTAGATGGAAGCATTCTCAGAAACTACTTTGTGATGATTGCATTCGAGTCACAGTGTTGAACATTCCTATAGATAGAGCAGGTTGTAAACAATCTTTTTGTAGAATCTGCGATTGGAGATTTGGACTGCTTTGAGCCCTACTGTAGTAAAGGAAATAACTTCATCTAAAAACCAAACGGAAGCATTCACAGAAAATTCTTTGTGATGATTGGATTGAACTAAGGGAGCTGAACATTCCTTTAGATGGCGCAGTTTCCAAACACACTTTCTGTAGAATCTGCACGTGGATATTTGGACTTCTCTGAGGATTTCGTTGGAAATGGGATAAACTTCCCAGAACTACACGGAAGCATTGTGAGAAACTTCTTTGTGATGTTTGCATTCAACTCACAGAGTTGAACCTTGCTTTCATAGTTCAGCTTTCAAACACTCTTTTTGTAGAATCTGCAAGTGGATATTTGGACCACTTTGTGGCCTTCCTTCGAAACGGGTATATCTTCACATCAAACCTAGACAGAAGCATTCTCAGAATGTTACCTGTGATGACTGCATTCAACTCACAGAGGTGAACAATCCTGCTGATGGAGCAGTTTTGAAACTCTCTTTCTTTGGATTCTGCAAGTGGATATGTGGACCTCTGTGAAGATTTCGTTGGAAACGGGTTCATCTTCACAGAAAAACTAAACAGGAGCATTCTCAGAAACTGCTTTGTGATGTTTGTGTTCCACTTCAAGAATTGAACTTTCCTCTTGACAGAGCAGCTCTGAAACCCTCTTATTCTAGAATCTGCAAGTGGACATTTGGAGGGCTTTGAGGCCTGTGGTGGAAAAGGAAAATCTTCACATAAAAACTAGATGGAAGCATTCTCAGAAACTACTTTGTGATGATTGCATTCGACTCACAGAGTTGAACATTCCTATCGACAGAGCAGGTTGTAAACAATCTTTTTGTAGAATCTGCGATTGGAGATTTGGACTGCTTTGAGGCCTACTGTAGTAAAGGAAATAACTTCATCTAAAAACCAAACGGAAGCATTCACAGACAATTCTTAGTGATCATTGCATTGAACTAACAGAGCTGAACATTCCTTTAGATGGAGCAGTTTCCAAACACACTTTCTGTAGAATCTGCAAGTGGATATTTGGACTTCTCTGAGGATTTCGTTGGAAACGGGATAAACTTCCCAGAACTACACGGAAGCATGCTGAGAAACTTCTTTGTGATGTTTGCATTCAACTCACAGAGTTGAACCTTGCTTTCATAGTTCAGCTTTCAAACACTCTTTTTGTAGAATCTGCAAGTGGATATTTGGACCACTTTGTGGCCTTCCTTCGAAACGGGTATATCTTCACATCAAACCTAGACAGAAGCATTCTCAGAATGTTTCCTGTGATGACTGCATTCAACTCACAGAGGTGAACAATCCTGTTGATGGAGCAGTTTTGAAACTCTCTTTCTTTGGATTCTGCAAGTTGATATGTGGACCTCTGTGAAGATTTCGTTGGAAACGGGTTCATCTTCACAGAAAAACTAAACAGAAGCATTCTCAGAAACTGCTTTGTGATGTTTGTGTTCCACTTCAGGAATTGAACTTTCCTCTTGACAGAGCAGCTCTGAAACCCTCTTATTCTAGAATCTGCAAGTGGACATTTGGAGGGCTTTGAGGCCTGTGGTGGAAAAGGAAAATCTTCACATAAAAACTAGATGGAAGCATTCTCAGAAACTACTTTGTGATGATTGCATTCGACTCACAGAGTTGAACATTCCTATAGATAGAGCAGGTTGTAAACAATCTTTTTGTAGAATCTGCGATTGGAGATTTGGACTGCTTTGAGGCCTACTGTAGTAAAGGAAATAACTTCATCTAAAAACCAAACGGAAGCATTCACAGACAATTCTTAGTGATCATTGGATTGAACTAACAGAGCTGAACATTCCTTTAGATGGAGCAGTTTCCAAACCCACTTTCTGTAGAATCTGCAAGTGGATATTTGGACTTCTCTGAGGATTTCGTTGGAAACGGGATAAACTTCCCAGAACTACACGGAAGCATTCTGAGAAACTTCTTTGTGATGTTTGCATTCAACTCACAGAGTTGAACCTTGCTTTCATAGTTCAGCTTTCAAACACTCTTTTTGTAGAATCTGCAAGTGGATATTTGGACCACTTTGTGGCCTTCCTTCGAAACGGGTATATCTTCACATCAAACCTAGACAGAAGCATTCTCAGAATGTTTCCTGTGATGACTGCATTCAACTCACAGAGGTGAACAATCCTGTTGATGGGGCACTTTTGAAACTCTCTTTCTTTGGATTCTGCAAGTTGATATGTGGACCTCTGTGAAGATTTCGTTGGAAACGGGTTCATCTCCACAGAAAAACTAAACAAAAGCATTCTCAGAAACTACTTTGTGATGTTTGTGTTCCACTTCAAGAATTGAACTTTCCTCTTGACAGAGCAGCTCTGAAACCCTCTTTTTCTAGAATCTGCAAGTGGACATTTGGAGGGCTTTGAGGCCTGTGGTGGAAAAGGAAAATCTTCACATAAAAACTAGATGGAAGCATTCTCAGAAACTACTTTGTGATGATTGCATTCGACTCACAGAGTTGAACATTCCTATAGATAGAGCAGGTTGTAAACAATCTTTTTGTAGAATCTGCGATTGGAGATTTGGACTGCTTTGAGGCCTACTGTAGTAAAGGAAATAACTTCATCTAAAAACCAAACGGAAGCATTCACAGAAAATTCTTAGTGATCATTGGATTGAACTAACAGAGCTGAACATTCCTTTAGATGGCACAGTTTCCAAACACACTTTCTGTAGAATCTGCAAGTGGATATTTGGACCTCTCTGAGGATTTCGTTGGAAAAGGGCTAAACTTCCCAGAACTACACGGAAGCATTCTGAGAAACTTCTTTGTGATGTTTGCATTCAACTCAAAGAGTTGAACCTTGCTTTCAAAGTTCAGCTTTCAAACACTCTTTTTGTAGAATCTGCAAGTGGATATTTGGACCACTTTGGGGCCTTCCTTCGAAACGGGTTCATCTTCACAGAAAAACTAAACAGGAGCATTCTCAGAAACTGCTTTGTGATGTTTGTGTTCCACTTCAAGAATTGAACTTTCCTCTTGACAGAGCAGCTCTGAAACCCTCTTTTTCTAGAATCTGCAAGTGGACATTTGGAGGGCTTTGAGGCCTGTGGTGGAAAAGGAAAATCTTCCCATAAAAACTAGATGGAAGCATTCTCAGAAACTACTTTGTGATGATTGCATTCGACTCACAGAGTTGAACATTCCTATACATAGAGCAGGTTGTAAACAATCTTTTTGTAGAATCTGCGATTGGAGATTTGGACTGCTTTGAGGCCTACTGTAGTAAAGGAAATAACTTCATCTAAAAACCAAACGGAAGCATTCACAGACAATTCTTAGTGATCATTGCATTGAACTAACAGAGCTGAACATTCCTTTAGATGGCGCAGTTTCCAAACACACTTTCTGTAGAATCTGCAAGTGGATATTTGGACTTCTCTGAGGATTTCGTTGGAAACGGGATAAACTTCCCAGAACTACACGGAAGCATGCTGAGAAACTTCTTTGTGATGTTTGCATTCAACTCACAGAGTTGAACCTTGCTTTCATAGTTCAGCTTTCAAACACTCTTTTTGTAGAATCTGCAAGTGGATATTTGGACCACTTTGTGGCCTTCCTTCGAAACGGGTATATCTTCACATCAAACCTAGACAGAAGCATTCTCAGAATGTTTCCTGTGATGACTGCATTCAACTCACAGAGGTGAACAATCCTGTTGATGGAGCACTTTTGAAACTCTCTTTCTTTGGATTCTGCAAGTTGATATGTGGACCTCTGTGAAGATTTCGTTGGAAACGGGTTCATCTTCACAGAAAAACTAAACAGAAGCATTCTCAGAAACTGCTTTGTGATTTTTGTGTTCCACTTCAGGAATTGAACTTTCCTCTTGACAGAGCAGCTCTGAAACCCTCTTATTCTAGAATCTGCAAGTGGACATTTGGAGGGCTTTGAGGCCAGTGGTGGAAAAGGAAAATCTTCACATAAAAACTAGATGGAAGCATTCTCAGAAACTACTTTGTGATGATTGCATTCGACTCACAGAGTTGAACATTCCTATAGATAGAGCAGGTTGTAAACAATCTTTTTGTAGAATCTGCGATTGGAGATTTGGACTGCTTTGAGGCCTACTGTAGTAAAGGAAATAACTTCATGTAAAAACCAAACGGAAGCATTCACAGACAATTCTTAGTGATCATTGGATTGAACTAACAGAGCTGAACACTCCTTTAGATGGCGCTGTTTCCAAACACACTTTCTGTAGAATCTGCAAGTGGATATTTGGACCTCTCTGAGGATTTCGTTGGAAACGGGATAAACTTCCCAGAACTACACGGAAGCATGCTGAGAAACTTCTTTGTGATGTTTGCATTCAACTCACAGAGTTGAACCTTGCTTTCATAGTTCAGCTTTCAAACACTCTTTTTGTAGAATCTGCAAGTGGATATTTGGACCACTTTGTGGCCTTCCTTCGAAACGGGTATATCTTCACATCAAACCTAGACAGAAGCATTCTCAGAATGTTTCCTGTGATGACTGCATTCAACTCACAGAGGTGAACAATCCTGTTGATGGAGCACTTTTGAAACTCTCTTTCTTTGGATTCTGCAAGTTGATATGTGGACCTCTGTGAAGATTTCGTTGGAAACGGGTTCATCTTCACAGAAAAACTAAACAGAAGCATTCTCAGAAACTGCTTTGTGATGTTTGTGTTCCACTTCAGGAATTGAACTTTCCTCTTGACAGAGCAGCTCTAAAACCCTCTTATTCTAGAATCTGCAAGTGGACATTTGGAGGGCTTTGAGGCCTGTGGTGGAAAAGGAAAATCTTCACATAAAAACTAGATGGAAGCATTCTCAGAAACTACTTTCTGATGATTGCATTCGACTCACAGAGTTGAACATTCCTATAGGTAGAGCAGGTTGTAAACAATCTTTTTGTAGAATCTGCGATTGGAGATTTGGACTGCTTTGAGGCCTACTGTAGTAAAGGAAATAACTTCATCTAAAAACCAAACGGAAGCATTCACAGACAATTCTTAGTGATCATTGCATTGAACTAACAGAGCTGAACATTCCTTTAGATGGCGCAGTTTCCAAACACACTTTCTGTAGAATCTGCAAGTGGATATTTGGACCTCTCTGAGGATTTCGTTGGAAACGGGATAAACTTCCCAGAACTACACGGAAGCATTCTGAGAAACTTCTTTGTGATGTTTGCATTCAACTCACAGAGTTGAACCTTGCTTTCATAGTTCAGCTTTCAAACACTCTTTTTGTAGAATCTGCAAGTGGATATTTGGACCACTTTGTGGCCTTCCTTCGAAACGGGTATATCTTCACATCAAACCTAGACAGAAGCATTCTCAGAATGTTTCCTGTGATGACTGCATTCAACTCACAGAGGTGAACAATCCTGCTGATGGAGCAGTTTTGAAACTCTCTTTCTTTGGATTCTGCAAGTGGATATGTGGACCTCTGTGAAGATTTCGTTGGAAACGGGTTCATCTTCACAGAAAAACTAAACAGGAGCATTCTCAGAAACTGCTTTGTGATGTTTGTGTTCCACTTCAGGAATTGAACTTTCCTCTTGACAGAGCAGCTCTGAAACCCTCCTTTTCTAGAATCTGCAAGTGGACATTTGGAGGGCTTTGAGGCCTGTGGTGGAAAAGGAAAATCTTCACATAAAAACTAGATGGAAGCATTCTCAGAAACTACTTTGCGATGATTGCATTCGACTCACAGGAGTTGAACATTCCTATAGATAGAGCAGGTTGTAAACAATCTTTTTGTAGAATCTGCGATTGGAAATTTGGACTGCTTTGAGGCCTACTGTAGTAAAGGAAATAATTTCATCTAAAAACCAAACGGAAGCATTCACAGACAATTCTTAGTGATCATTGGATTGAACTAACAGAGCTGAACATTCCCTTAGATGGCGCAGTTTCCAAACACACTTTCTGTAGAATCTGCAAGTGGATATTTGGACCTCTCTGAGGATTTCGTTGGAAACGGGATAAACTTCCCAGAACTACACGGAAGCATTCTGAGAAACTTCTTTGTGATGTTTGCATTCAACTCACAGAGTTGAACCTTGCTTTCATAGTTCAGCTTTCAAACACTCTTTTTGTAGAATCTGCAAGTGGATATTTGGACCACTTTGTGGCCTTCCTTCGAAACGGGTATATCTTCACATCAAACCTAGACAGAAGCATTCCCAGAATGTTTCCTGTGATGACTGCATTCAACTCACAGAGGCGAACAATCCTGTTGATGGAGCAGTTTTGAAACTCTCTCTCTTTGGATTCTGCAAGTGGATATGTGGACCTCTGTGAAGATTTCGTTGGAAACGGGTTCATCTTCACAGAAAAACTAAACAGGAGCATTCTCAGAAACTGCTTTGTGATGTTTGTGTTCCACTTCAGGAATTGAACTTTCCTCTTGACAGAGCAGCTCTGAAACCCTCTTATTCTAGAATCTGCAAGTGGACATTTGGAGGGCTTTGAGGCCTGTGGTGGAAAAGGAAAATCTTCACATAAAAACTAGATGGAAGCATTCTCAGAAACTACTTTGTGATGATTGCATTCGACTCACAGAGTTGAACATTCCTATAGATAGAGCAGGTTGTAAACAATCTTTTTGTAGAATCTGCGATTGGAGATTTGGACTGCTTTGAGGCCTACTGTAGTAAAGGAAATAACTTCATCTAAAAACCAAACGGAAGCATTCACAGACAATTCTTAGTGATCATTGGTTTGAACTAACAGAGCTGAACATTCCTTTAGATGGAGGAGTTTCCAAACACTCTTTCTGTAGAATCTGCAAGTGGATATTTGGACCTCTCTGAGGATTTCGTTGGAAACGGGATAAACTTCCCAGAACTACACGGAAGCATTCTGAGAAACTTCTTTGTGATGTTTGCATTCAACACACCGAGTTGAACCTTGCTTTCATAGTTCAGCTTTCAAACACTCTTTTTGTAGAATCTGCAAGTGGATATTTGGACCACTTTGTGGCCTTCCTTCGAAACGGGTATATCTTCACATCAAACCTAGACAGAAGCATTCTCGGAATGTTTCCTGTGATGACTGCATTCAACTCACAGAGGTGAACAATCCTGCTGATGGAGCAGTTTTGAAACTCTCTTTCTTTGGATTCTGCAGGTGGATATGTGGACCTCTGTGAAGATTTCGTTGGAAACGGGTTCATCTTCACAGAAAAACTAAACAGGAGCATTCTCAGAAACTGCTTTGTGATGTTTTTGTTCCACTTCAGGAATTGAACTTTCCTCTTGACAGAGCAGCTCTGAAACCCTCTTTTTCTAGAATCCGCAAGTGGATATTTGGAGGGCTTTGAGGCCTGTGGTGGAAAAGGAAAATCTTCACATAAAAACTAGATGGAAGCATTCTCAGAAACTACTTTGTGATGATTGCATTCGACTCACAGAGTTGAAAATTCCTATAGATAGAGCAGGTTGTAAACAATCTTTTTGTAGAATCTGCGATTGGAGATTTGGACTGCTTTGAGGCCTACTGTAGTAAAGGAAATAACTTCATCTAAAAACCAAACGGAAGCATTCACAGACAATTCTTAGTGATCATTGGATTGAACTAACAGAGCTGAACATTCCTTTAGATGGAGCAGTTTCCAAACCCACTTTCTGTAGAATCTGCAAGTGGATATTTGGACTTCTCGGAGGATTTCGTTGGAAACGGGATAAACTTCCCAGAACTACAGGGAAGCATTCTGAGAAACTTCTTTCTGATGTTTGCATTCAACTCACAGAGTTGAACCTTGCTTTCATAGTTCAGCTTTCAAACACTCTTTTTGTAGAATCTGCAAGTGGATATTTGGACCACTTTGTGGCCTTCCTTCGAAACGGGTATATCTTCACATCAAACCTAGACAGAAGCATTCTCAGAATGTTTCCTGTGATGACTGCATTCAACTCACAGAGGTGAACAATCCTGTTGATGGAACAGTTTTGTAACTCTCTTTCTTTGGATTCTGCAAGTTGATATGTGGACCTCTGTGAAGATTTCGTTGGAAACTGGTTCATCTTCACAGAAAAACTAAACAGAAGCATTCTCAGAAACTGCTTTGTGATGTTTGTGTTCCACTTCAAGAATTGAACTTTCCTCTTGACAGAGCAGCTCTGAAACCCTCTTTTTCTAGAATCTGCAAGTGGACATTTGGAGGGCTTTGAGGCCTGTGGTGGAAAAGGAAAATCTTCACATAAAAACTAGATGGAAGCATTCTCAGAAACTACTTTGTGATGATTGCATTCGACTCACAGAGTTGAACATTCCTATAGATAGAGCAGGTTGTAAACAATCTTTTTGTAGAATCTGCGATTGGAGATTTGGACTGCTTTGAGGCCTACTGTAGTAAAGGAAATAACTTCATCTAAAAACCAAACGGAAGCATTCACAGACAATTCTTAGTGATCATTGGATTGAACTAACAGAGCTGAACATTCCTTTAGATGGAGCAGTTTCCAAACACACTTTCTGTAGAATCTGAAAGTGGATATTTGGACTTCTCTGAGGATTTCGTTGGAAACGGGATAAACTTCCCAGAACTACACGGAAGCATTGTGAGAAACTTCTTTGTGATGTTTGCATTCAACTCACAGAGTTGAACCTTCCTTTCCTAGTTCAGCTTTCATACACTCTTTTTGTGGAATCTGCAAGTGGATATTTGGACCACTTTGTGGCCTTCCTTCGAAACGGGTATATCTTCACATCAAACCTAGACAGAAGCATTCTCAGAATGTTTCCTGTGATGACTGCATTCAACTCACAGAGGTGAACAATCCTGTTGATGGGGCACTTTTGAAACTCTCTCTCTTTGGATTCTGCAAGTTGATATGTGGACCTCTGTGAAGATTTCGTTGGAAACGGGTTCATCTTCACAGAAAAACTAAACAGAAGCATTCTCAGAAACTACTTTGTGATGTTTGTGTTCCACTTCAAGAATTGAACTTTCCTCTTGACAGAGCAGCTCTGAAACCCTCTTTTTCTAGAATCTGCAAGTGGACATTTGGAGGGCTTTGAGGCCTGTGGTGGAAAAGGAAAATCTTCACATAAAAACTAGATGGAAGCATTCTCAGAAACTACTTTGTGATGATTGCATTCGACTCACAGAGTTGAACATTCCTATAGATAGAGCAGGTTGTAAACAATCTTTTTGTAGAATCTGCGATTGGAGATTTGGACTGCTTTGAGGCCTACTGTAGTAAAGGAAATAACTTCATCTAAAAACCAAACGGAAGCATTCACAGACAATTCTTAGTGATCATTGCATTGAACTAACAGAGCTGAACATTCCTTTAGATGGAGCAGTTTCCAAACCCACTTTCTGTAGAATCTGCAAGTGGATATTTGGACTTCTCTGAGGATTTCGTTGGAAACGGGATATACTTCCCAGAACTACACGGAAGCATTCTGAGAAACTTCTTTGTGATGTTTGCATTCAACTCACAGAGTTGAACCTTGCTTTCATAGTTCAGCTTTCAAACACTCTTTTTGTAGAATCTGCAAGTGGATATTTGGACCACTTTCTGGCCTTCCTTCGAAACGGGTATATCTTCACATCAAACCTAGACAGAAGCATTCTCAGAATGTTTCCTGTGATGACTGCATTCAACTCACAGAGGTGAACAATCCTGTTGATGGAGCAGTTTTGAAACTCTCTTTCTTTGGATTCTGCAAGTTGATATGTGGACCTCTGTGAAGATTTCGTTGGAAACGGGTTCATCTTCACAGAAAAACTAAACAGAAGCATTCTCAGAAACTGTTTTGTGATGTTTGTGTTCCACTTCAGGAATTGAACTTTCCTCTTGAAAGAGCAGCTCTGAAACCCTCTTTTTCTAGAATCTGCAAGTGGACATTTGGAGGGCTTTGAGGCCTGTGGTGGAAAAGGAAAATCTTCACATAAAAACTAGATGGAAGCATTCTCAGAAACTACTTTGTGATGATTGCATTCGACTCACAGAGTTGAACATTCCTATAGATAGAGCAGGTTGTAAACAATCTTTTTGTAGAATCTGCGATTGGAGATTTGGACTGCTTTGAGGCCTACTGTAGTAAAGGAAATAACTTCATCTAAAAACCAAACGGAAGCATTCACAGACAATTCTTAGTGATCATTGCATTGAACAAACAGAGCTGAAAATTGCTTTAGATGGCGCAGTTTGCAAACACACTTTCTGTAGAATCTGCAAGTGGATATTTGGACCTCTCTGAGGATTTCGTTGGAAACGGGATAAACTTCCCAGAACTACACGGAAGCATGCTGAGAAACTTCTTTGTGATGTTTGCATTCAACTCACAGAGTTGAACCTTGCTTTCATAGTGCAGCTTTCAAACACTCTTTTTGTAGAATCTGCAAGTGGATATTTGGACCACTTTGTGGCCTTCCTTCGAAACGGGTATATCTTCACATCAAACCTAGACAGAAGCATTCTCAGAATGTTTCCTGTGATGACTGCATTCAACTCACAGAGGTGAACAATCCTGTTGATGGAGCACTTTTGAAACTCTCTTTCTTTGGATTCTGCAAGTTGATATGTGGACCTCTGTGAAGATTTCGTTGGAAACGGGTTCATCTTCACAGAAAAACTAAACAGAAGCATTCTCAGAAACTACTTTGTGATGTTTGTGTTCCACTTCAAGAATTGAACTTTCCTCTTGACAGAGCAGCTCTGAAACCCTCTTTTTCTAGAATCTGCAAGTGGACATTTGGAGGGCTTTGAGGCCTGTGGTGGAAAAGGAAAATCTTCACATAAAAACTAGATGGAAGCATTCTCAGAAACTACTTTGTGATGATAGCATTCGACTCACAGAGTTGAACATTCCTATAGATAGAGCAGGTTGTAAACAATCTTTTTGTAGAATCTGCGATTGGAGATTTGGACTGCTTTGAGGCCTACTGTAGTAAAGGAAATAACTTCATCTAAAAACCAAACGGAAGCATTCACAGACAATTCTTAGTGATCATTGGATTGAACTAACAGAGCTGAACATTCCCTTAGATGGCGCAGTTTCCAAACACACTTTCTGTAGAATCTGCAAGTGGATATTTGGACCTCTCTGAGGATTTCGTTGGAAACGGGATAAACTTCCCAGAACTACACGGAAGCATTCTGAGAAACTTCTTTGTGATGTTTGCATTCAACTCACAGAGTTGAACCTTGCTTTCATAGTTCAGCTTTCAAACACTCTTTTTGTAGAATCTGCAAGTGGATATTTGGACCACTTTGTGGCCTTCCTTCGAAACGGGTATATCTTCACATCAAACCTAGACAGAAGCATTCTCAGAATGTTTCCTGTGATGACTGCATTCAACTCACAGAGGTGAACAATCCTGTTGATGGAGCAGTTTTGAAACTCTCTTTCTTTGGATTCTGCAAGTGGATATGTGGACCTCTGTGAAAATTTCGTTGGAAACGGGTTCATCTTCACAGAAAAACTAAACAGAAGCATTCTCAGAAACTGCTTTGTGATGTTTGTGTTCCACTTCAAGAATTGAACTTTCCTCTTGACAGAGCAGCTCTGAAACCCTCTTTTTCTAGAATCTGCAAGTGGACATTTGGAGGGCTTTGAGGCCTGTGGTGGAAAAGGAAAATCTTCACATAAAAACTAGATGGAAGCATTCTCAGAAACTACTTTGTGATGATTGCATTCGACTCACAGAGTTGAACATTCCTATAGATAGAGCAGGTTGTAAACAATCTTTTTGTAGAATCTGCGATTGGAGATTTGGACTGCTTTGAGGCCTACTGTAGTAAAGGAAATAACTTCATCTAAAAACCAAACGGAAGCATTCACAGACAATTCTTAGTGATCATTGCATTGAACTAACAGAGCTGAACATTCCTTTAGATGGAGCAGTTTCCAAACACACTTTCTGTAGAATCTGCAAGTGGATATTTGGACCTCTCTGAGGATTTCGTTGGAAACGGGATAAACTTCCCAGAACTACACGGAAGCATTCTGAGAAACTTCTTTGTGATGTTTGCATTCAACTCACAGAGTTGAACCTTGCTTTCATAGTTCAGCTTTCAAACACTCTTTTTGTAGAATCTGCAAGTGGATATTTGGACCACTTTGTGGCCTTCCTTCGAAACGGGTATATCTTCACATCAAACCTAGACAGAAGCATTCTCAGAATGTTTCCTGTGATGACTGCATTCAACTCACAGAGGTGAACAATCCTGCTGATGGAGCAGTTTTGAAACTCTCTTTCTTTGGATTCTGCAAGTGGATATGTGGACCTCTGTGTAGATTTCGTTGGAAACGGGTTCATCTTCACAGAAAAACTAAACAGGAGCATTCTCAGAAACTGCTTTGTGATGTTTGTGTTCCACTTCAAGAATTGAACTTTCCTCTTGACAGAGCAGCTCTGAAACCCTCTTTTTCTAGAATCTGCAAGTGGACATTTGGAGGGCTTTGAGGCCTGTGGTGGAAAAGGAAAATCTTCACATAAAAACTAGATGGAAGCATTCTCAGAAACTACTTTGTGATGATTGCATTCGACTCACAGAGTTGAACATTCCTATACATAGAGCAGGTTGTAAACAATCTTTTTGTAGAATCTGTGATTGGAGATTTGGACTGCTTTGAGGCCTACTGTAGTAAAGGAAATAACTTCATCTAAAAACCAAACGGAAGCATTCACAGACAATTCTTAGTGATCATTGGATTGAACTAACAGAGCTGAACATTCCTTTAGATGGCGCAGTTTCCAAACACACTTTCTGTAGAATCTGCAAGTGGATATTTGGACCTCTCTGAGGATTTCGTTGGAAACGGGATAAACTTCCCAGAACTACACGGAAGCATTGTGAGAAACTTCTTTGTGATGTTTGCATTCAACTCACAGAGTTGAACCTTGCTTTCATAGTTCAGCTTTCAAACACTCTTTTTGTAGAATCTGCAAGTGGATATTTGGACCACTTTGTGGCCTTCCTTCGAAACGGGTATATCTTCACATCAAACCTAGACAGAAGCATTCTCAGAATGTTTCCTGTGATGACTGCATTCAACTCACAGAGGTGAACAATCCTGCTGATGGAGCAGTTTTGAAACTCTCTTTCTTTGGATTCTGCAAGTGGATATGTGGACCTCTGTGAAGATTTCGTTGGAAACGGGTTCATCTTCACAGAAAAACTAAACAGAAGCATTCTCAGAAACTGCTTTGTGATGTTTGTGTTCCACTTCAAGAATTGAACTTTCCTCTTGACAGAGCAGCTCTGAAACCCTCTTTTTCTAGATTCTGCAAGTGGACATTTGGAGGGCTTTGAGGCCTGTGGTGGAAAAGGAAAATCTTCACATAAAAACTAGATGGAAGCATTCTCAGAAACTACTTTGTGATGATTGCATTCGACTCACAGAGTTGAACATTCCTATAGATAGAGCAGGTTGTAAACAATCTTTTTGTAGAATCTGCGATTGGAGATTTGGACTGCTTTGAGGCCTACTGTAGTAAAGGAAATAACTTCATCTAAAAACCAAACGGAAGCATTCACAGACAATTCTTAGTGATCATTGCATTGAACTAACAGAGCTGAACATTCCTTTAGATGGCGCAGTTTCCAAACACACTTTCTGTAGAATCTGCAAGTGGATATTTGGACCTCTCTGAGGATTTCGTTGGAAACGGGATAAACTTCCCAGAACTACACGGAAGCATTGTGAGAAACTTCTTTGTGATGTTTGCATTCAACTCACAGAGTTGAACCTTGCTTTCATAGTTCAGCTTTCAAACACTCTTTTTGTGGAATCTGCAAGTGGATATTTGGACCACTTTGTGGCCTTCCTTCGAAACGGGTATATCTTCACATCAAACCTAGACAGAAGCATTCTCAGAATGTTTCCTGTGATGACTGCATTCAACTCACAGAGGTGAACAATCCTGCTGATGGAGCAGTTTTGAAACTCTCATTCTTTGGATTCTGCAAGTGGATATGTGGACCTCTGTGAACATTTCGTTGGAAACGGGTTCATCTTCACAGAAAAACTAAACAGGAGCATTCTCAGAAACTGCTTTGTGATGTTTGTGTTCCACTTCAAGAATTGAACTTTCCTCTTGACAGAGCAGCTCTGAAACCCTCTTTTTCTAGAATCTGCAAGTGGACATTTGGAGGGCTTTGAGGCCTGTGGTGGAAAAGGAAAATCTTCACATAAAAACTAGATGGAAGCATTCTCAGAAACTACTTTGTGATGATTGCATTCGACTCACAGAGTTGAACATTCCTATAGATAGAGCAGGTTGTAAACAATCTTTTTGTAGAATCTGCGATTGGAGATTTGGACTGCTTTGAGGCCTACTGTAGTAAAGGAAATAACTTCATCTAAAAACCAAACGGAAACATTCACAGACAATTCTTAGTGATCATTGGATTGAACTAACAGAGCTGAACATTCCTTTAGATGGAGCAGTTTCCAAACACACTTTCTGTAGAATCTGCAAGTGGATATTTGGACTTCTCTGAGGATTTCGTTGGAAACGGGATAAACTTCCCAGAACTACACGGAAGTATTCTGAGAAACTTCTTTGTGATGTTTGCATTCAACTCACAGAGTTGAACCTTGCTTTCATAGTTCAGCTTTCAAACACTCTTTTTGTAGAATCTGCAAGTGGATATTTGGACCACTTTGTGGCCTTCCTTCGAAACGGGTATATCTTCACATCAAACCTATACAGAAGCATTCTCAGAATGTTTCCTGTGATGACTGCATTCAACTCACAGAGGTGAACAATCCTGCTGATGGAGCAGTTTTGAAACTCTCTTTCTTTGGATTCTGCAAGTGGATATGTGGACCTCTGTGAAGATTTCGTTGGAAACGGGTTCATCTTCACAGAAAAACTAATCAGAAGCATTCTCAGAAACTACTTTGTGATGTTTGTGTTCCACTTCAAGAATTGAACTTTCCTCTTGACAGAGCAGCTCTGAAACCCTCTTTTTCTAGAATCTGCAAGTGGACATTTGGAGGGCTTTGAGGCCTGTGGTGGAAAAGGAAAATCTTCACATAAAAACTAGATGGAAGCATTCTCAGAAACTACTTTGTGATGATTGCATTCGACTCACAGAGTTGAACATTCCTATAGATAGAGCAGGTTGTAAACAATCTTTTTGTAGAATCTGCGATTGGAGATTTGGACTGCTTTGAGGCCTACTGTAGTAAAGGAAATAACTTCATCTAAAAACCAAACGGAAGCATTCACAGACAATTCTTAGTGATCATTGCTTTGAACTAACAGAGCTGAACATTCCTTTAGATGGAGCAGTTTCCAAACACACTTTCTGTAGAATCTGCAAGTGGATATTTGGACTTCTCTGAGGATTTCGTTGGAAACGGGATAAACTTCCCAGAACTACACGGAAGCATTCTGAGAAACTTCTTTGTGATGTTTGCATTCAACTCACAGAGTTAAACCTTGCTTTCATAGTTCAGCTTTCAAACACTCTTTTTGTAGAATCTGCAAGTGGATATTTGGACCACTTTGTGGCCTTCCTTCGAAACGGGTATATCTTCACATCAAACCTAGACAGAAGCATTCTCAGAATGTTTCCTGTGATGACTGCATTCAACTCACAGAGGTGAACAATCCTGTTGATGGAGCACTTTTGAAACTCTCTTTCTTTGGATTCTGCAAGTGGATATGTGGACCTCTGTGAAGATTTCGTTGGAAACGGGTTCATCTTCACAGAAAAACTAAACAGGAAACATTCTCAGAAACTGCTTTGTGATGTTTGTGTTCCACTTCAGGAATTGAACTTTCCTCTTGACAGAGCAGCTCTGAAACCCTCTTATAATAGAATCTGCAAGTGGACATTTGGAGGGCTTTGAGGCCTGTGGTGGAAAAGGAAAATCTTCACATAAAAACTAGATGGAAGCATTCTCAGAAACTACTTTGTGATGATTGCATTCGACTCACAGAGTTGAACATTCCTATAGATAGAGCAGGTTGTAAACAATCTTTTTGTAGAATCTGCGATTGGAGATTTGGACTGCTTTGAGGCCTACTGTAGTAAAGGAAATAACTTCATCTAAAAACCAAACGGAAGCATTCACAGACAATTCTTAGTGATCATTGCATTGAACTAACAGAGCTGAACATTCCTTTAGATGGCGCAGTTTCCAAACACACTTTCTGTAGAATCTGCAAGTGGATATTTGGACCTCTCTGAGGATTTCGTTGGAAACGGGATAAACTTCCCAGAACTACACGGAAGCATTGTGAGAAACTTCTTTGTGATGTTTGCATTCAACTCACAGAGTTGAACCTTGCTTTCATAGTTCAGCTTTCAAACACTCTTTTTGTAGAATCTGCAAGTGGATATTTGGACCACTTTGTGGCCTTCCTTCGAAACGGGTATATCTTCACATCAAACCTAGACAGAAGCATTCTCAGAATGTTTCCTGTGATAACTGCATTCAACTCACAGAGGTGAACAATCCTGTTGATGGAGCAGTTTTGAATCTCCCTTTGTTTGGATTCTGCAAGTGGATATGTGGAACTCTGTGAAGATTTCGTTGGAAACGGGTTCATCTTCACAGAAAAACTAAACAGGAGCATTCTCAGAAACTGCTTTGTGATGTTTGTGTTCCACTTCAAGAATTGAACTTTCCTCTTGACCGAGCAGCTCTGAAACCCTCTTTTTCTAGAATCTGCAAGTGGACATTTGGAGGGCTTTGAGGCCTGTGGTGGAAAAGGAAAATCTTCCCATAAAAACTGGATGGAAGCATTCTCAGAAACTACTTTGTGATGATTGCATTCGACTCACAGAGTTGAACATTCCTATAGATAGAGCAGGGTGTAAACAATCTTTTGTAGAATCTGCGATTGGAGATTTGGACTGCTTTGAGGCCTACTGTAGTAAAGGAAATAACTTCATCTAAAAACCAAACGGAGGTATTCAAAGACAATTCTTAGTGATCATTGGATTGAACTAACAGAGCTGAAAATTAGTTTAGATGGCGCAGTTTCCAAACACACTTTCTGTAGAATCTGCAAGTGGATATTTGGACTTCTCTGAGGATTTCGTTGGAAACGGGATAAACTTCCCAGAACTACACGGCAGCATTCTGAGAAACTTCTTTGTGATGTTTGCATTCAACTCACAGAGTTGAAACTTGCTTTCATAGTTTAGCTTTCAAACACTCTTTTTGTAGAATCTGCAAGTGGATATTTGGACCACTTTGTGGCCTTCCTTCGAAACGGGTATATCTTCACATCAAACCTAGACAGAAGCATTCTCAGAATGTTTCCTGTGATGACTGCATTCAACTCACAGAGGTGAACAATCCTGCTGATGGAGCAGTTTTGAAACTCTCTTTCTTTGGATTCTGCAAGTGGATATGTGGACCTCTGTGAAGATTTCGTTGGAAACGGGTTCATCTTCACAGAAAAACTAAACAGAAGCATTCTCAGAAACTGCTTTGTGATGTTTGTGTTCCACTTCAAGAATTGAACTTTCCTCTTGACAGAGCAACTCTGAAACCCTCTTTTTCTAGAATCTGCAAGTGGACATTTGGAGGGCTTTGAGGCCTGTGGTGGAAAAGGAAAATCTTCACATAAAAACTAGATGGAAGCATTCTCAGAAACTACTTTGTGATGATTGCAACGTCTCACAGAGTTGAACATTCCTATAGATAGAGCAGGTTGTAAACAATCTTTTTGTAGAATCTGCGATTGGAGATTTGGACTGCTTTGAGGCCTACTGTAGTAAAGGAAATAACTTCATCTAAAAACCAAACGGAAGCATTCAAAGACAATTCTTAGTGATCATTGGATTGAACTAACAGAGCTGAACATTCCTTTAGATGGCGCAGTTTCCAAACACACTTTCTGTAGAATCTGCAAGTGGATATTTGGACCTCTCTGAGGATTTCGTTGGAAACGGGATAAACTTCCCAGAACTACACGGAAGCATTCTGAGAAACTTCTTTGTGATGTTTGCATTCAACTCACAGAGTTGAACCTTGCTTTCATAGTTCAGCTTTCAAACACTCTTTTTGTAGAATCTGCAAGTGGATATTTGGACCACTTTGTGGCCTTCCTTCGAAACGGGTATATCTTCACATCAAACCTAGACAGAAGCATTCTCAGAATGTTTCCTGTGATGACTGCATTCAACTCACAGAGGTGAACAATCCTGCTGATGGAGCAGTTTTGAAACTCTCTTTCTTTGGATTCTGCAAGTGGATATGTGGACCTCTGTGAAGATTTCGTTGGAAAAGGGTTCATCTTCACAGAAAAACTAAACAGGAGCATTCTCAGAAACTGCTTTGTGATGTTTGTGTTCCACTTCAGGAATTGAACTTTCCTCTTGACAGAGCAGCTCTGAAACCCTCTTTTTCTAGAATCTGCAAGTGGACATTTGGAGGGCTTTGAGGCCTGTGGTGGAAAAGGAAAATCTTCACATAAAAACTAGATGGAAGCATTCTCAGAAACTACTTTGTGATGATTGCATTCGACTCACAGAGTTGAACATTCCTATAGATAGAGCAGGTTGTAAACAATCTTTTTGTAGAATCTGCGATTGGAGATTTGGACTGCTTTGAGGCCTACTGTAGTAAAGGAAATAACTTCATCTAAAAACCAAACGGAAGCATTCACAGACAATTCTTAGTGATCATTGGATTGAACTAACAGAGCTGAACATTCCTTTAGATGGAGCAGTTTCCAAACCCACTTTCTGTAGAATCTGCAAGTGGATATTTGGACTTCTCTGAGGATTTCGTTGGAAACGGGATAAACTTCCCAGAACTACACGGAAGCATTGTGAGAAACTTCTTTGTGATGTTTGCATTCAACTCACAGAGTTGAACCTTGCTTTCATAGTTCAGCTTTCAAACACTCTTTTTGTAGAATCTGCAAGTGGATATTTGGACCACTTTGTGGCCTTCCTTCGAAACGGGTATATCTTCACATCAAACCTAGACAGAAGCATTCTCAGAATGTTTCCTGTGATGACTGCATTCAACTCACAGATGTGAACAATCCTGCTCATGGAGCAGTTTTGAAACTCTCTTTCTTTGGATTCTGCAAGTGGATATGTGGACCTCTGTGTAGATTTCGTTGGAAACGGGTTCATCTTCACAGAAAAACTAAACAGAAGCATTCTCAGAAACTGCTTTGTGATGTTTGTGTTCCACTTCAAGAATTGAACTTTCCTCTTGACCGAGCAGCTCTGAAACCCTCTTATTCTAGAATCTGCAAGTGGACATTTGGAGGGCCTTTGAGGCCTGTGGTGGAAAAGGAAAATCTTCACATAAAAACTAGATGGAAGCATTCTCAGAAACTACTTTGTGATGATTGCATTCGACTCACAGAGTTGAACATTCCTATAGATAGAGCAGGTTGTAAACAATCTTTTTGTAGAATCTGCGATTGGAGATTTGGACTGCTTTGAGGCCTACTGTAGTAAAGGAAATAACTTCATCTAAAAACCAAACGGAAGCATTCACAGACAATTCTTAGTGATCATTGCATTGAACTAACAGAGCTGAACATTCCTTTAGATGGCGCAGTTTCCAAACACACTTTCTGTAGAATCTGCAAGTGGATATGTGGACCTCTCTGAGGATATCGTTGGAAACGGGATAAACTTCCCAGAACTACACGGAAGCATTCTGAGAAACTTCTTTGTGATGTTTGCATTCAACTCACAGAGTTGAACCTTGCTTTCATAGTTCAGCTTTCAAACACTCTTTTTGTAGAATCTGCAAGTGGATATTTGGACCACTTTGTGGCCTTCCTTCGAAACGGGTATATCTTCACATCAAACCTAGACAGAAGCATTCTCAGAATGTTTCCTGTGATGACTGCATTCAACTCACAGAGGTGAACAATCCTGCTGATGGAGCAGTTTTGAAACTCTCTTTCTTTGGATTCTACAAGTGGATATGTGGACCTCTGTGAAGATTTCGTTGGAAACGGGTTCATCTTCACAGAAAAACTAAACAGAAGCATTCTCAGAAACTGCTTTGTGATGTTTGTGTTCCACTTCAAGAATTGAACTTTCCTCTTGACAGAGCAGCTCTGAAACCCTCTTTTTCTAGAATCTGCAAGTGGACATTTGGAGGGCTTTGAGGCCTGTGGTGGAAAAGGAAAATCTTCACATAAAAACTAGATGGAAGCATTCTCAGAAACTACTTTGTGATGATTGCATTCGACTCACAGAGTTGAACATTCCTATAGATAGAGCAGGTTGTAAACAATCTTTTTGTAGAATCTGCGATTGGAGATTTGGACTGCTTTGAGGCCTACTGTAGTAAAGGAAATAACTTCATCTAAAAACCAAACGGAAGCATTCACAGACAATTCTTAGTGATCATTGCATTGAACTAACAGAGCTGAACATTCTTTTAGATGGCGCAGTTTCCAAACACACTTTCTGTAGAATCTGCAAGTGGATATTTGGACCTCTCTGAGGATTTCGTTGGAAACGGGATAAACTTCCCAGAACTACACGGAAGCATTGTGAGAAACTTCTCTGTGATGTTTGCATTCAACTCACAAAGTTGAACCTTGCTTTCATAGTTCAGCTTTCAAACACTCTTTTTGTGGAATCTGCAAGTGGATATTTGGACCACTTTGTGGCCTTCCTTCGAAACGGGTATATCTTCACATCAAACCTAGACAGAAGCATTCTCAGAATGTTTCCTGTGATGACTGCATTCAACTCACAGAGGTGAACAATCCTGCTGATGGAGCAGTTTTGAAACTCTCTTTCTTTGGATTCTGCAAGTGGATATGTGGACCTCTGTGACGATTTCGTTGGAAACGTGCTCATCTTCACAGAAAAACTAAACAGGAGCATTCTCAGAAACTGCTTTGTGATGTTTGTGTTCCACTTCAGGAATTGAACTTTCCTCTTGACAGAGCAGCTCTGAAACCCTCTTTTTCTAGAATCTGCAAGTGGACATTTGGAGGGCTTTGAGGCCTGTGGTGGAAAAGGAAAATCTTCACATAAAAACTAGATGGAAGCATTCTCAGAAACTACTTTGTGATGATTGCATTCGACTCACAGAGTTGAACATTCCTATAGATAGAGCAGGTTGAAAACAATCTTTTTGTAGAATCTGCGATTGGAGATTTGGACTGCTTTGAGGCCTACTGTAGTAAAGGAAATAACTTCATCTAAAAACCAAACGGAAGCATTCACAGAAAATTCTTAGTGATCATTGGATTGAACTAACAGAGCTGAACATTTGTTTAGATGGAGCAGATTCCAAACACACTTTCTGTAGAATCTGCAACTGGATATTTGGATCTCTCTGAGGATTTCGTTGGAAACGGGATAAACTTCCCAGAACTACACGGAAGCATTCTGAGAAACTTCTTTGTGATGTTTGCATTCAACTCACAGAGTTGAACCTTGCTTTCATAGTTCAGCTTTCAAACACTCTTTTTGTAGAATCTGCAAGTGGATATTTGGACCACTTTGTGGCCTTCCTTCGAAACGGGTATATCTTCACATCAAACCTAGACAGAAGCATTCTCAGAATGTTTCCTGTGATGACTGCATTCAACTCACAGAGGTGAACAATCCTGCTGATGGAGCAGTTTTGAAACTCTCTTTCTTTGGATTCTGCAAGTGGATATGTGGACCTCTGTGAAGATTTCGTTGGAAACGGGTTCATCTTCACAGAAAAATTAAACAGAAGCATTCTCAGAAACTGCTTTGTGATGTTTGTGTTCCACTTCAGGAATTGAACTTTCCTCTTGACAGAGCAGCTCTGAAACCCTCTTATTCTAGAATCTGCAAGTGGACATTTGGAGGGCTTTGAGGCCTGTGGTGGAAAAGGAAAATCTTCACATAAAAACTAGATGGAAGCATTCTCAGAAACTACTTTGTGATGATTGCATTCGACTCACAGAGTTGAACATTCCTATAGATAGAGCAGGTTGTAAACAATCTTTTTGTAGAATCTGCGATTGGAGATTTGGACTGCTTTGAGGCCTACTGTAGTAAAGGAAATAACTTCATCTAAAAACCAAACGGAAGCATTCACAGACAATTCTTAGTGATCATTGGATTGAACTAACAGAGCTGAACATTCCTTTAGATGGAGCAGTTTCCAAACCCACTTTCTGTAGAATCTGCAAGTGGATATTTGGACTTCTCTGAGGATTTCGTTGGAAACGGGATAAACTTCCCAGAACTACAGGGAAGCATTCTGAGAAACTTCTTTGTGATGGTTGCATTCAACTCACAGAGTTGAACCTTGCTTTCATAGCTCAGCTTTCAAACACTCTTTTTGTAGAATCTGCAAGTGGATATTTGGACCACTTTGTGGCCTTCCTTCGAAACGGGTATATCTTCACATCAAACCTAGACAGAAGCATTCTCAGAATGTTTCCTGTGATGACTGCATTCAACTCACAGAGGTGAACAATCCTGTTGATGGGGCACTTTTGAAACTCTCTCTCTTTGGATTCTGCAAGTTGATATGTGGACCTCTGTGAAGATTTCGTTGGAAACGGGTTCATCTTCACAGAAAAACTAAACAGGAGCATTCTCAGAAACTGCTTTGTGATGTTTGTGTTCCACTTCAGGAATTGAACTTTCCTCTTGACAGAGCAGCTCTGAAACCCTCTTTTTCTAGAATCTGCAAGTGGACATTTGGAGGGCTTTGAGGCCTGTGGTGGAAAAGGAAAATCTTCACATAAAAACTAGATGGAAGCATTCTCAGAAACTACTTTGTGATGATTGCATTCGACTCACAGAGTTGAACATTCCTATAGATAGAGCAGGTTGTAAACAATCTTTTTGTAGAATCTGCGATTGGAGATTTGGACTGCTTTGAGGCCTACTGTAGTAAAGGAAATAACTTCATCTAAAAACCAAACGGAAGCATTCACAGACAATTCTTAGTGATCATTGCATTGAACTAACAGAGCTGAACATTCGTTTAGATGGCGCAGTTTCCAAACACACTTTCTGTAGAATCTGCAAGTGGATATTTGGACCTCTCTGAGGATTTCGTTGGAAACGGGATAAACTTCCCAGAACTACACGGAAGCATTCTGAGAAACTTCTTTGTGATGTTTGCATTCAACTCACAGAGTTGAACCTTGCTTTCATAGTTCAGCTTTCAAACACTCTTTTTGTAGAATCTACAGAAAGTGGATATTTGGACCACTTTGTGGCCTTCCTTCGAAACGGGTATATCTTCACATCAAACCTAGACAGAAGCATTCTCAGAATGTTTCCTGTGATGACTGCATTCAACTCACAGAGGTGAACAATCCTGCTGATGGAGCAGTTTTGAAACTCTCTTTCTTTGGATTCTGCAAGTGGATATGTGGACCTCTGTGAAGATTTCGTTGGAAACGGGTTCATCTTCACAGAAAAACTAAAAAGAAGCATTCTCAGAAACTGCTTTGTGATGTTTGTGTTCCACTTCAGGAATTGAACTTTCCTCTTGACAGAGCAGCTCTGAAACCCTCTTATTCTAGAATCTGCAAGTGGACATTTGGAGGGCTTTGAGGCCTGTGGTGGAAAAGGAAAATCTTCACATAAAAACTAGATGGAAGCATTCTCAGAAACTACTTTGTGATGATTGCATTCGACTCACAGAGTTGAACATTCCTATAGATAGAGCAGGTTGTAAACAATCTTTTTGTAGAATCTGCGATTGGAGATTTGGACTGCTTTGAGGCCTACTGTAGTAAAGGAAATAACTTCATCTAAAAACCAAACGGAAGCATTCACAGACAATTCTTAGTGATCATTGGATTGAACTAACAGAGCTGAACATTCCTTTAGATGGAGCAGTTTCCAAACCCACTTTCTGTAGAATCTGCAAGTGGATATTTGGACTTCTCTGAGGATTTCGTTGGAAACGGGATAAACTTCCCAGAACTACACGGAAGCATTCTGAGAAACTTCTTTGTGATGTTTGCATTCAACTCACAGAGTTGAACCTTGCTTTCATAGTTCAGCTTTCAAACACTCTTTTTGTAGAATCTGCAAGTGGATATTTGGACCACTTTGTGGCCTTCCTTCGAAACGGGTATATCTTCACATCAAACCTAGACAGAAGCATTCTCAGAATGTTTCCTATGATGACTGCATTCAACTCACAGAGGTGAACAATCCTGTTGATGGAGCAGTTTTGAAACTCTCTTTCTTTGGATTCTGCAAGTGGATATGTGGACCTCTGTGAAGATTTCGTTGGAAACGGGTTCATCTTCACAGAAAAACTAAACAGAAGCATTCTCAGAAACTGCTTTGTGATGTTTGTGTTCCACTTCAGGAATTGAACTTTCCTCTTGTCAGAGCAGCTCTGAAACCCTCTTTTTCTAGAATCTGCAAGTGGACATTTGGAGGGCTTTGAGGCCTGTGGTGGAAAAGGAAAATCTTCACATAAAAACTAGATGGAAGCATTCTCAGAAACTACTTTGTGATGATTGCATTCGACTCACAGAGTTGAGCATTCCTATACATAGAGCAGGTTGTAAACAATCTTTTTGTAGAATCTGCGATTGGAGATTTGGACTGCTTTGAGGCCTACTGTAGTAAAGGAAATAACTTCATCTAAAAACCAAACGGAAGCATTCACAGACAATTCTTAGTGATCATTGGATTGAACTAACAGAGCTGAACATTCCTTTAGATGGAGCAGTTTCCAAACCCACTTTCTGTAGAATCTGCAAGTGGATATTTGGACTTCTCTGAGGATTTCGTTGGAAACGGGATAAACTTCCCAGAACTACACGGAAGCATTGTGAGAAACTTCTTTGTGATGTTTGCATTCAACTCACAGAGTTGAACCTTGCTTTCATAGTTCAGCTTTCAAACACTCTTTTTGTAGAATCTGCAAGTGGATATTTGGACCACTTTGTGGCCTTCCTTCGAAACGGGTATATCTTCACATCAAACCTAGACAGAAGCATTCTCAGAATGTTTCCTGTGATGACTGCATTCAACTCACAGAGGTGAACAATCCTGTTGATGGAGCAGTTTTGAAACTCTCTTTCTTTGGATTCTGCAAGTGGATATGTGGACCTCTGTGAAGATTTCGTTGGAAACGGGTTCATCTTCACAGAAAAACTAAACAGAAACATTCTCAGAAACTGCTTTGTGATGTTTGTGTTCCACTTCAAGAATTGAACTTTCCTCTTGACAGAGCAGCTCTGAAACCCTCTTTTTCTAGAATCTGCAAGTGGACATTTGGAGGGCTTTGAGGCCTGTGGTGGAAAAGGAAAATCTTCACATAAAAACTAGATGGAAGCATTCTCAGAAACTACTTTGTGATGATTGCATTCGACTCACAGAGTTGAACATTCCTATAGATAGAGCAGGTTGTAAACAATCTTTTTGTAGAATCTGCGATTGGAGATTTGGACTGCTTTGAGGCCTACTGTAGTAAAGGAAATAACTTCATCTAAAAACCAAACGGAAAGCATTCACAGACAATTCTTAGTGATCATTGCATTGAACTAACAGAGCTGAACATTCCTTTAGATGGCGCAGTTTCCAAACACACTTTCTGTAGAATCTGCAAGTGGATATTTGGACCTCTCTGAGGATTTCGTTGGAAACGGGATAAACTTCCCAGAACTACACGGAAGCATTCTGAGAAACTTCTTTGTGATGTTTGCATTCAACTCACAGAGTTGAACCTTGCTTTCATAGTTCAGCTTTCAAACACTCTTTTTGTAGAATCTGCAAGTGGATATTTGGACCACTTTGTGGCCTTCCTTCGAAACGGGTATATCTTCACATCAAACCTAGACAGAAGCATTCTCAGAATGTTTCCTGTGATGACTGCATTCAACTCACAGAGGTGAACAATCCTGCTGATGGAGGAGTTTTGAAACTCTCTTTCTTTGGATTCTGCAAGTGGATATGTGGACCTCTGTGAAGATTTCGTTGGAAACGGGTTCATCTTCATAGAAAAACTAAACAGAAGCATACTCAGAAACTGCTTTGTGATGTTTGTGTTCCACTTCAAGAATTGAACTTTCCTCTTGACAGAGCAGCTCTGAAACCCTCTTTTTCTAGAATCTGCAAGTGGACATTTGGAGGGCTTTGAGGCCTGTGGTGGAAAAGGAAAATCTTCACATAAAAACTAGATGGAAGCATTCTCAGAAACTACTTTGTGATGATTGCATTCGACTCACAGAGTTGAACATTCCTATAGATAGAGCAGGTTGTAAACAATCTTTTTGTAGAATCTGCGATTGGAGATTTGGACTGCTTTGAGGCCTACTGTAGTAAAGGAAATAACTTCATCTAAAAACCAAACGGAAGCATTCACAGACAATTCTTAGTGATCATTGCATTGAACTAACAGAGCTGAACATTCCTTTAGATGGCGCAGTTTCCAAACACACTTTCTGTAGAATCTGCAAGTGGATATTTGGACCTCTCTGAGGATTTCGTTGGAAACGGGCTAAACTTCCCAGAACTACACGGAAGCATTGTGAGAAACTTCTTTGTGATGTTTGCATTCAACTCACAGAGTTGAACCTTGCTTTCATAGTTCAGCTTTCAAACACTCTTTTTGTAGAATCTGCAAGTGGATATTTGGACCACTTTGTGGCCTTCCTTCGAAACGGGTATATCTTCACATCAAACCTAGACAGAAGCATTCTCAGAATGTTTCCTGTGATGACTGCATTCAACTCACAGAGGTGAACAATCCTGTTGATGGAGCAGTTTTGAAACTCTCTTTCTTTGGATTCTGCAAGTGGATATGTGGACCTCTGTGAAGATTTCGTTGGAAACGGGTTCATCTTCACAGAAAAACTAAACAGAAGCATTCTCAGAAACTGCTTTGTGATGTTTGTGTTCCACTTCAGGAATTGAACTTTCCTCTTGACAGAGCAGCTCTGAAACCCTCTTATTCTAGAATCTGCAAGTGGACATTTGGAGGGCTTTGAGGCCTGTGGTGGAAAAGGAAAATCTTCACATAAAAACTAGATGGAAGCATTCTCAGAAACTACTTTGTGATGATTGCATTCGACTCACAGAGTTGAACATTCCTATAGATAGAGCAGGTTGTAAACAATCTTTTTGTAGAATCTGCGATTGGAGATTTGGACTGCTTTGAGGCCTACTGTAGTAAAGGAAATAACTCCATCTAAAAACCAAACGGAAGCATTCACAGACAATTCGTAGTGATCATTGGATTGAACTAACAGAGCTGAACACTCCTTTAGATGGAGCAGATTCCAAACACACTTTCTGTAGAATCTGCAAGTGGATATTTGGACTTCTCTGAGGATTTCGTTGGAAACGGGATAAACTTCCCAGAACTACACGGAAGCATTGTGAGAAACTTCTTTGTGATGTTTGCATTCAACTCACAGAGTTGAACCTTGCTTTCATAGTTCAGCTTTCAAACACTCTTTTTGTAGAATCTGCAAGTGGATATTTGGACCACTTTGTGGCCTTCCTTCGAAACGGGTATATCTTCACATCAAACCTAGACAGAAGCATTCTCAGAATGTTTCCTGTGATGACTGCATTCAACTCACAGAGGTGAACAATCCTGTTGATGGAGCAGTTTTGAAACTCTCTTTCTTTGGATTCTGCAAGTGGATATGTGGACCTCTGTGAAGATTTCGTTGGAAACGGGTTCATCTTCACAGAAAAACTAAACAGAAGCATTCTCAGAAACTGCTTTGTGATGTTTGTGTTCCACTTCAAGAATTGAACTTTCCTCTTGACAGAGCAGCTCTGAAACCCTCTTTTTCTAGAATCTGCAAGTGGACATTTGGAGGGCTTTGAGGCCTGTGGTGGAAAAGGAAAATCTTCACATAAAAACTAGATGGAAGCATTCTCAGAAACTACTTTGTGATGATTGCATTCGACTCACAGAGTTGAACATTCCTATAGATAGAGCAGGTTGTAAACAATCTTTTTGTAGAATCTGCGATTGGAGATTTGGACTGCTTTGAGGCCTACTGTAGTAAAGGAAATAACTTCATCTAAAAACCAAACGGAAGCATTCACAGACAATTCTTAGTGATCATTGGATTGAACTAACAGAGCTGAACATTCCTTTAGATGGAGCAGTTTCCAAACCCACTTTCTGTAGAATCTGCAAGTGGATATTTGGACCTCTCTGAGGATTTCGTTGGAAACGGGATAAACTTCCCAGAACTACACGGAAGCATTGTGAGAAACTTCTTTGTGATGCTTGCATTCAACTCACAGAGTTGAACCTTGCTTTCATAGTTCAGCTTTCAAACACTCTTTTTGTAGAATCTGCAAGTGGATATTTGGACCACTTTGTGGCCTTCCTTCGAAACGGGTATATCTTCACATCAAACCTAGACAGAAGCATTCTCAGAATGTTTCCTGTGATGACTGCATTCAACTCACAGAGGTGAACAATCCTGCTGATGGAGCAGTTTTGAAACTCTCTTTCTTTGGATTCTGCAAGTGGATATGTGGACCTCTGTGAAGATTTCGTTGGAAACGTGCTCATCTTCACAGAAAAACTAAACAGGAGCATTCTCAGAAACTGATTTGTGATGTTTGTGTTCCACTTCAAGAATTGAACTTTCCTCTTGACAGAGCAGCTCTGAAACCCTCTTTTTCTAGAATCTGCAAGTGGACATTTGGAGGGCTTTGAGGCCTGTTGTGGAAAAGGAAAATCTTCACATAAAAACTAGATGGAAGCATTCTCAGAAACTACTTTGTGATGATTGCATTCGACTCACAGAGTTGAACATTCCTATAGATAGAGCAGGTTGTAAACAATCTTTTTGTAGAATCTGCGATTGGAGATTTGGACTGCTTTGAGGCCTACTGTAGTAAAGGAAATAACTTCATCTAAAAACCAAACGGAAGCATTCACAGACAATTCTTAGTGATCATTGGATTGAACTAACAGAGCTGAACATTCCTTTAGATGGAGCAGTTTCCAAACACACTTTCTGTAGAATCTGCAAGTGGATATTTGGACTTCTCTGAGGATATCGTTGGAAACGGGATAAACTTCCCAGAACTACACGGAAGCATTGTGAGAAACTTCTTTGTGATGTTTGCATTCAACTCACAGAGTTGAACCTTGGTTTCATAGTTCAGCTTTCAAACACTCTTTTTGTAGAATCTGCAAGTGGATATTTGGACCACTTTGTGGCCTTCCTTTGAAACGGGTATATCTTCACATCAAACCTAGACAGAAGCATTCTGAGAATGTTTCCTGTGATGACTGCATTCAACTCACAGAGGTGAACAATCCTGCTGATGGAGCAGTTTTGAAACTCTCTTTCTTTGGATTCTGCAAGTGGATATGTGGACCTCTGTGAAGATTTCGTTGGAAACGGGTTCATCCTCACAGAAAAACTAAACAGGAGCATTCTCAGAAACTGCTTTGTGATGTTTGTGTTCCACTTCAAGAATTGAACTTTCCTCTTGACAGAGCAGCTCTGAAACCCTCTTTTTCTAGAATCTGCAAGTGGACATTTGGAGGGCTTTGAGGCCTGTGGTGGAAAAGGAAAATCTTCACATAAAAACTAGATGGAAGCATTCTCAGAAACTACTTTGTGATGATTGCATTCGACTCACAGAGTTGAACATTCCTATAGATAGAGCAGGTTGTAAACAATCTTTTTGTAGAATCTGCGATTGGAGATTTGGACTGCTTTGAGGCCTACTGTAGTAAAGGAAATAACTTCATCTAAAAACCAAACGGAAGCATTCACAGACAATTCTTAGTGATCATTGGATTGAACTAACAGAGCTGAACATTCCTTTAGATGGAGCAGTTTCCAAACCCACTTTCTGTAGAATCTGCAAGTGGATATTTGGACTTCTCTGAGGATTTCGTTGGAAACGGGATAAACTTCCCAGAACTACACGGAAGCATTCTGAGAAACTTCTTTGTGATGTTTGCATTCAACTCACAGAGTTGAACCTTGCTTTCATAGTTCAGCTTTCAAACACTCTTTTTGTAGAATCTGCAAGTGGATATTTGGACCACTTTGTGGCCTTCCTTCCAAACGGGTATATCTTCACATCAAACCTAGACAGAAGCATTCTCAGAATGTTTCCTGTGATGACTGCATTCAACTCACAGAGGTGAACAATCCTGTTGATGGAGCAGTTTTGAAACTCTCTTTCTTTGGATTCTGCAAGTGGATATGGATATGTGGACCTCTGTGAAGATTTCGTTGGAAACGGGTTCATCTTCACAGAAAAACTAAACAGGAGCATTCTCAGAAACTGCTTTGTGATGTTTGTGTTCCACTTCAAGAATTGAACTTTCCTCTTGACAGAGCAGCTCTGAAACCCTCTTTTTCTAGAATCTGCAAGTGGACATTTGGAGGGCTTTGAGGCCTGTGGTGGAAAAGGAAAATCTTCACATAAAAACTAGATGGAAGCATTCTCAGAAACTACTTTGTGATGATTGCATTCGACTCACAGAGTTGAACATTCCTATAGATAGAGCAGGTTGTAAACAATCTTTTTGTAGAATCTGCGATTGGAGATTTGGACTGCTTTGAGGCCTACTGCAGTAAAGGAAATAACTTCATCTAAAAACCAAACGGAAGCATTCACAGACAATTCTTAGTGATCATTGCATTGAACTAACAGAGCTGAACATTCCTTTAGATGGAGCATTTTCCAAACACACTTTCTGTAGAATCTGCAAGTGGATATTTGGACATCTCTGAGGATTTCGTTGGAAACGGGATAAACTTCCCAGAACTACACGGAAGCATTCTGAGAAACTTCTTTGTGATGTTTGCATTCAACTCACAGAGTTGAACCTTGCTTTCATAGTTCAGCTTTCAAACACTCTTTTTGCAGAATCTGCAAGTGGATATTTGGACCACTTTGTGGCCTTCCTTCGAAACGGGTATATCTTCACATCAAACCTAGACAGAAGCATTCTCAGAATGTTTCCTGTGATGACTGCATTCAACTCACAGAGGTGAACAATTCTGCTGATGGAGCAGTTTTCAAACTCTCTTTCTTTGGATTCTGCAAGTAGATATGTGGACCTCTGTGAAGATTTCGTTGGAAACGGGTTCATCTTCACAGAAAAACTAAAAAGAAGCATTCTCAGAAACTGCTTTGTGATGTTTGTGTTCCACTTCAGGAATTGAACATTCCTCTTGACAGAGCAGCTCTGAAACCCTCTTATTCTAGAATCTGCAAGTGGACATTTGGAGGGCTTTGAGGCCTGTGGTGGAAAAGGAAAATCTTCACATAATAACTAGATGGAAGCATTCTCAGAAACTACTTTGTGATGATTGCATTCGACTCACAGAGTTGAACATTCCTATAGATAGAGCAGGTTGTAAACAATCTTTTTGTAGAATCTGCGATTGGAGATTTGGACTGCTTTGAGGCCTACTGTAGTAAAGGAAATAACTTCATCTAAAAACCAAACGGAAGCATTCACAGACAATTCTTAGTGATCATTGCATTGAACTAACAGAGCTGAACATTGCTTTAGATGGCGCAGTTTCCAAACCCACTTTCTGTAGAATCTGCAAGTGGATATTTGGACCTCTCTGAGGATTTCGTTGGAAATGGGATAAACTTCCCAGAACTACACGGAAGCATGCTGAGAAACTTCTTTGTGATGTTTCCATTCAACTCACAGAGTTGAACCTTGCTTTCATAGTTCAGCTTTCAAACACTCTATTTGTAGAATCTGCAAGTGGATATTTGGACCACTTTGTGGCCTTCCTTCGAAACGGGTATATCTTCACTTCAAACCTAGAAAGAGAAGCATTCTCAGAATGTTTCCTGTGATGACTGCATTCAACTCACAGAGGTGAACAATCCTGCTGATGGAGCAGTTTTGAAACTCTCTTTCTTTGGGTTCTGCAAGTGGATATGTGGACCTCTGTGAAGATTTCGTTGGAAACGGGTTCATCTTCCCAGAAAAACTAAAAAGAAACATTCTCAGAAACTGCTTTGTGAAGTTTGTGTTCCACTTCAGGAATTGAACTTTCCTCTTGACAGAGCAGCTCTGAAACCCTCTTATTCTAGAATCTGCAAGTGGACATTTGGAGGGCTTTGAGGCCTGTGGTGGAAAAGGAAAATCTTCACATAAAAACTAGATGGAAGCATTCTCAGAAACTACTTTGTGATGATTGCATTCGACTCACAGAGTTGAACATTCCTATAGATAGAGCAGGTTGTAAACAATCTTTTTGTAGAATCTGCGATTGGAGATTTGGACTGCTTTGAGGCCTACTGTAGTAAAGGAAATAACTTCATCTAAAAACCAAACGGAAGCATTCACAGACAATTCTTAGTGATCATTGCATTGAACTAACAGAGCTGAACATTCCTTTAGATGGAGCAGTTTCCAAACCCACTTTCTGTAGAATCTGCAAGTGGATATTTGGACTTCTCTGAGGATTTCGTTGGAAACGGGATATACTTCCCAGAACTACACGGAAGCATTCTGAGAAACTTCTTTGTGATGTTTCCATTCAACTCACAGAGTTGAACCTTGCTTTCATAGTTCAGCTTTCAAACACTCTTTTTGTAGAATCTGCAAGTGGATATTTGGACCACTTTGTGGCCTTCCTTCGAAACGGGTATATCTTCACATCAAACCTAGACAGAAGCATTCTCAGAATGTTTCCTGTGATGACTGCATTCAACTCACAGAGGTGAACAATCCTGTTGATGGAGCACTTTTGAAACTCTCTTTCTTTGGATTCTGCAAGTTGATATGTGGACCTCTGTGAAGATTTCGTTGGAAACGGGTTCATCTTCACAGAAAAACTAAACAGAAGCATTCTCAGAAACTACTTTGTGATGTTTGTGTTCCACTTCAAGAATTGAACTTTCCTCTTGACAGAGCAGCTCTGAAACCCTCTTATTCTAGAATCTGCAAGTGGACATTTGGAGGGCTTTGAGGCCTGTGGTGGAAAAGGAAAATCTTCACATAAAAACTAGATGGAAGCATTCTCAGAAACTACTTTGTGATGATGGCATTCGACTCACAGAGTTGAACATTCCTATAGATAGAGCAGGTTGTAAACAATCTTTTTGTAGAATCTGCGATTGGAGATTTGGACTGCTTTGAGGCCTACTGTAGTAAAGGAAATAACTTCATCTAAAAACCAAACGGAAGCATTCACAGACAATTCTTACTGATCACTGGATTGAACTAACAGAGCTGAACATTCCTTTAGATGGAGCAGTTTCCAAACACACTTTCTGTAGAATCTGCAAGTGGATATTTGGACTTCTCTGAGGATTTCGTTGGAAACGGGATAAACTTCCCAGAACTACACGGAAGCATTCTGAGAAACTTCTTTGTGATGTTTGCATTCAACTCACAGAGTTGAACCTTGCTTTCATAGTTCAGCTTTCAAACACTCTTTTTGTAGAATCTGCAAGTGGATATTTGGACCACTTTGTGGCCTTCCTTCGAAACGGGTATATCTTCACATCAAACCTAGGCAGAAGCATTCTCAGAATGTTTCCTGTGATGACTGCATTCAACTCACAGAGGTGAACAATCCTGCTGATGGAGCAGTTTTGAAACTCTCTTTCTTTGGATTCTGCAAGTGGATATGTGGACCTCTGTGAAGATTTCGTTGGAAACGGGTTCATCTTCACAGAAAAACTAAACAGGAGCATTCTCAGAAACTGCTTTGTGATGTTTGTGTTCCACTTCAAGAATTGAACTTTCCTCTTGACAGAGCAGCTCTGAAACCCTCTTTTTCTAGAATCTGCAAGTGGACATTTGGAGGGCTTTGAGGCCTGTGGTGGAAAAGGAAAATCTTCACATAAAAACTAGATGGAAGCATTCTCAGAAACTACTTTGTGATGATTGCATTCGACTCACAGAGTTGAACATTCCTATAGATAGAGCAGGTTGTAAACAATCTTTTTGTAGAATCTGCGATTGGAGATTTGGACTGCTTTGAGGCCTACTGTAGTAAAGGAAATAACTTCATCTAAAAACCAAACGGAAGCATTCACAGACAATTCTTAGTGATCATTGGATTGAACTAACAGAGCTGAACATTCCTTTAGATGGAGCAGTTTCCAAACCCACTTTCTGTAGAATCTGCAAGTGGATATTTGGACCTCTCTGAGGATTTCGTTGGAAACGGGATAAACTTCCCAGAACTACACGGAAGCATTGTGAGAAACTTCTTTGTGATGTTTGCATTCAACTCACAGAGTTGAACCTTGCTTTCATAGTTCAGCTTTCAAACACTCTTTTTGTAGAATCTGCAAGTGGATATTTGGACCACTTTGTGGCCTTCCTTCGAAACGGGTATATCTTCACATCAAACCTAGACAGAAGCATTCTCAGAATGTTTCCTGTGATGACTGCATTCAACTCACAGAGGTGAACAATCCTGTTGATGGAGCACTTTTGAAACTCTCTTTCTTTGGATTCTGCAAGTTGATATGTGGACCTCTGTGAAGATTTCGTTGGAAACGGGTTCATCTTCACAGAAAAACTAAACAGAAGCATTCTCAGAAACTACTTTGTGATGTTTGTGTTCCACTTCAAGAATTGAACTTTCCTCTTGACAGAGCAGCTCTGAAACCCTCTTTTTCTAGAATCTGCAAGTGGACATTTGGAGGGCTTTGAGGCCTGTGGTGGAAAAGGAAAATCTTCACATAAAAACTAGATGGAAGCATTCTCAGAAACTACTTTGTGATGATTGCATTCGACTCACAGAGTTGAACATTCCTATAGATAGAGCAGGTTGTAAACAATCTTTTTGTAGAATCTGCGATTGGAGATTTGGACTGCATTGAGGCCTACTGTAGTAAAGGAAATAACTTCATCTAAAAACCAAACGGAAGCATTCACAGACAATTCTTAGTGATCATTGCATTGAACTAACAGAGCTGAACATTGCTTTAGATGGAGCAGTTTCCAAACACACTTTCTGTAGAATCTGCAAGTGGATATTTGGACCTCTCTGAGGATTTCGTTGGAAACGGGATAAAATTCCCAGAACTACACGGAAGCATGCTGAGAAACTTCTTTGTGATGTTTGCATTCAACTCACAGAGTTGAACCTTGCTTTCATAGTTCAGCTTTCAAACACTCTTTTTGTAGAATCTGCAAGTGGATATTTGGACCACTTTGTGGCCTTCCTTCGAAACGGGTATATCTTCACTTCAAACCTAGACAGAAGCATTCTCAGAATGTTTCCTGTGATGACTGCATTCAACTCACAGAGGTGAACAATCCTGCTGATGGAGCAGTTTTGAAACTCTCTTTCTTTGGATTCTGCAAGTTGATATGTGGACCTCTGTGAAGATTTCGTTGGAAACGGGTTCATCTTCACAGAAAAACTAAACAGGAGCATTCTCAGAAACTGCTTTGTGATGTTTGTGTTCCACTTCAAGAATTGAACTTTCCTCTTGACAGAGCAGCTCTGAAACCCTCTTTTTCTAGAATCTGCAAGTGGACATTTGGAGGGCTTTGAGGCCTGTGGTGGAAAAGGAAAATCTTCCCATAAAAACTAGATGGAAGCATTCTCAGAAACTACTTTGTGATGATTGCATTCGACTCACAGAGTTGAACATTCCTATAGATAGAGCAGGTTGTAAACAATCTTTTTGTAGAATCTGCGATTGGAGATTTGGACTGCTTTGAGGCCTACTGTAGTAAAGGAAATAACTTCATCTAAAAACCAAACGGAAGCATTCACAGACAATTCTTAGTGATCATTGCATTGAACTAACAGAGCTGAACATTCCTTTAGATGGCGCAGTTTCCAAACACACTTTCTGTAGAATCTGCAAGTGGATATTTGGACCTCTCTGAGGATTTCATTGGAAAAGGGATAAACTTCCCAGAACTACACGGAAGCATTCTGAGAAACTTCTTTGTGATGTTTGCATTCAACTCACAGAGTTGAACCTTGCTTTCATAGTTCAGCTTTCAAACACTCTTTTTGTAGAATCTGCAAGTGGATATTTGGACCACTTTGTGGCCTTCCTTCGAAACGGGTATATCTTCACATCAAACCTAGACAGAAGCATTCTCAGAATGTTTTCTGTGATGACTGCATTCAACTCACAGAGGTGAACAATCCTGTTGATGGAGCAGTTTTGAAACTCTCTTTCTTTGGATTCTGCAAGTGGATATGTGGACCTCTGTGAACATTTCGTTGGAAACGGGTTCATCTTCACAGAAAAACTAAACAGGAGCATTCTCAGAAACTGCTTTGTGATGTTTGTGTTCCACTTCAAGAATTGAACTTTCCTCTTGACAGAGCAGCTCTGAAACCCTCTTTTTCTAGAATCTGCAAGTGGACATTTGGAGGGCTTTGAGGCCTGTGGTGAAAAAGGAAAATCTTCACATAAAAACTAGATGGAAGCATTCTCAGAAACTACTTTGTGATGATTGCATTCGACTCACAGAGTTGAACATTCCTATAGATAGAGCAGGTTGTAAACAATCTTTTTGTAGAATCTGCGATTGGAGATTTGGACTGCTTTGAGGCCTACTGTAGTAAAGGAAATAACTTCATCTAAAAACCAAACGGAAGCATTCACAGACAATTCTTAGTGATCATTGCATTGAACTAACAGAGCTGAACATTCCTTTAGATGGAGCAGTTTCCAAACACACTTTCTGTAGAATCTGCAAGTGGATATTTGGACTTCTCTGAGGATTTCGTTGGAAACGGGATAAACTTCCCAGAACTACACGGAAGCATGCTGAGAAACTTCTTTGTGATGTTTGCATTCAACTCACAGAGTTGAAACTTGCTTTCATAGTTCAGCTTTCAAACACTCTTTTTGTAGAATCTGCAAGTGGATATTTGGACCACTTTGTGGCCTTCCTTCGAAACGGGTATATCTTCACATCAAACCTAGACAGAAGCATTCTCAGAATGTTTCCTGTGATGACTGCATTCAACTCACAGAGGTGAACAATCCTGTTGATGGAGCACTTTTGAAACTCTCTTTCTTTGGATTCTGCCAGTTGATATGTGGACCTCTGTGAAGATTTCGTTGGAAACGGGTTCATCTTCACAGAAAAACTAAACAGAAGCATTCTCAGAAACTACTTTGTGATGTTTGTGTTCCACTTCAAGAATTGAACTTTCCTCTTGACAGAGCAGCTCTGAAACCCTCTTTTTCTAGAATCTGCAAGTGGACATTTGGAGGGCTTTGAGGCCTGTGGTGGAAAAGGAAAATCTTCACATAAAAACTAGATGGAAGCATTCTCAGAAACTACTTTGTGATGATTGCATTCGACTCACAGAGTTGAACATTCCTATAGATAGAGCAGGTTGTAAACAATCTTTTTGTAGAATCTGCGATTGGAGATTTGCACTGCTTTGAGGCCTACTGTAGTAAAGCAAATAACTTCATCTAAAAAGCAAACGGAAGCATTCACAGACAATTCTTAGTGATCATTGCATTGAACTAACAGAGCTGAACATTCCTTTAGATGGCGCAGTTTCCAAACACACTTTCTGTAGAATCTGCAAGTGGATATTTGGACCTCTCTGAGGATTTCGTTGGAAACGGGATAAACTTCCCAGAACTACACGGAAGCATTGTGAGAAACTTCTTTGTGATGTTTGCATTCAACTCACAGAGTTGAACCTTGCTTTCATAGTTCAGCTTTCAAACACTCCTTTTGTAGAATCTGCAAGTGGATATTTGGACCACTTTGTGGCCTTCCTTGGAAACGGGTATATCTTCACATCAAACCTAGACAGAAGCATTCTCAGAATGTTTCCTGTGATGACTGCATTCAACTCACAGAGGTGAACAATCCTGCTGATGGAGCAGTTTTGAAACTCTCTTTCTTTGGATTCTGCAAGTGGATATGTGGACCTCTGTGAAGATTTCGTTGGAAACGGGTTCATCTTCACAGAAAAACTAAACAGAAGCATTCTCAGAAACTGCTTTGTGATGTTTGTGTTCCACTTCAAGAATTGAACTTTCCTCTTGACAGAGCAGCTCTGAAACCCTCTTCTTCTAGAATCTGCAAGTGGACATTTGGAGGGCTTTGATGCCTGTGGTGGAAAAGGAAAATCTTCACATAAAAACTAGATGGAAGCATTCTCAGAAACTACTTTGTGATGATTGCATTCGACTCACAGAGTTGAACATTCCTATAGATAGAGCAGGTTGTAAACAATCTTTTTGTAGAATCTGCGATTGGAGATTTGGACTGCTTTGAGGCCTACTGTAGTAAAGGAAATAACTTCATCTAAAAACCAAACGGAAGCATTCACAGAAAATTCTTAGTGATCATTGGATTGAACTAACAGAGCTGAACATTCCTTTAGATGGAGCAGTTTCCAAACACACTTTCTGTAGAATCTGCAAGTGGATATTTGGACCTCTCTGAGGATTTCGTTGGAAACGGGCTAAACTTCCAAGAACTACACGGAAGCATTCTGAGAAACTTCTTTGTGATGTTTGCATTCAACTCACAGAGTTGAACCTTGCTTTCATAGTTCAGCTTTCAAACACTCTTTTTGTAGAATCTGCAAGTGGATATTTGGACCACTTTGTGGCCTTCCTTCGAAACGGGTATATCTTCACATCAAACCTAGACAGAAGCATTCTCAGAATGTTTCCTGTGATGACTGCATTCAACTCACAGAGGTGAACAATCCTGCTGATGGAGCAGTTTTGAAACTCTCTTTCTTTGGATTCTGCAAGTGGATATGTGGACCTCTGTGAAGATTTCGTTGGAAACGGGTTCATCTTCACAGAAAAACTAAACAGAAGCATTCTCAGAAACTGCTTTGTGATGTTTGTGTTCCACTTCAAGAATTGAACTTTCCTCTTGACAGAGCAGCTCTGAAACCCTCTTTTTCTAGAATCTGCAAGTGGACATTTGGAGGGCTTTGAGGCCTGTGGTGGAAAAGGAAAATCTTCCCATAAAAACTAGATGGAAGCATTCTCAGAAACTACTTTGTGATGATTGCATTCGACTCACAGAGTTGAACATTCCTATAGATAGAGCAGGTTGTAAACAATCTTTTTGTAGAATCTGCGATTGGAGATTTGGACTGCTTTGAGGCCTACTGTAGTAAAGGAAATAACTTCATCTAAAAACCAAACGGAAGCATTCAGAGACAATTCTTTGTGATCATTGGATTGAACTAACAGAGCTGAACATTCCTTTAGATGGAGCAGTTGCCAAACCCACTTTCTGTAGAATCTGCAAGTGGATATTTGGACCTCTACTGAGGATTTCGTTGGAAACGGGATAAACTTCCCAGAACTACACGGAAGCATTCTGAGAAACTTCTTTGTGATGTTTGCATTCAACTCACAGAGTTGAACCTTGCTTTCATAGTTCAGCTTTCAAACACTCTTTTTGTAGAATCTGCAAGTGGATATTTGGACCACTTTGTGGCCTTCCTTCGAAACGGGTATATCTTCACATCAAACCTAGACAGAAGCATTCTCAGAATGTTTCCTGTGATGACTGCATTCAACTCACAGAGGTGAACAATCCTGTTGATGGAGCAGTTTTGAAACTCTCTTTCTTTGGATTCTGCAAGTGGATATGTGGACCTCTGTGAAGATTTCGTTGGAAACGGGTTCATCTTCACAGAAAAACTAAACAGAAGCATTCTCAGAAACTGCTTTGTGATGTTTGTGTTCCACTTCAAGAATTGAACTTTCCTCTTGACAGAGCAGCTCTGAAACCCTCTTTTTCTAGAATCTGCAAGTGGACATTTGGAGGGCTTTGAGGCCTGTGGTGGAAAAGGAAAATCTTCCCATAAAAACTAGATGGAAGCATTCTCAGAAACTACTTTGTGATGATTGCATTCGACTCACAGAGTTGAACATTCCTATAGATAGAGCAGGTTGTAAACAATCTTTTTGTAGAATCTGTGATTGGAGATTTGGACTGCTTTGAGGCCTACTGTAGTAAAGGAAATAACTTCATCTAAAAACCAAACGGAAGCATTCACAGACAATTCTTAGTGATCATTGCATTGAACTAACAGAGCTGAACATTCCTTTAGATGGAGCAGTTTCCAAACACACTTTCTGTAGAATCTGCAAGTGGATATTTGGACCTCTCTGAGGATTTCGTTGGAAACGGGATAAACTTCCCAGAACTACACGGAAGCATTGTGAGAAACTTCTTTGTGATGTTTGCATTCAACTCACAGAGTTGAACCTTGCTTTCATAGTTCAGCTTTCAAACACTCTTTTTGTAGAATCTGCAAGTGGATATTGGGACCACTTTGTGGCCTTCCTTCGAAACGGGTATATCTTCACATCAAACCTAGACAGAAGCATTCTCAGAATGTTTCCTGTGATGACTGCATTCAACTCACAGAGGTGAACAATCCTGCTGATGGAGCAGTGTTGAAACTCTCTTTCTTTGGATTCTGCAAGTTGATATGTGGACCTCTGTGAAGATTTCGTTGGAAACGGGTTCATCTTCACAGAAAAACTAAACAGAAGCATTCTCAGAAACTGCTTTGTGATGTTTGTGTTCCACTTCAGGAATTGAACTTTCCTCTTGACAGAGCAGCTCTGAAACCCTCTTATTCTAGAATCTGCAAGTGGACATTTGGAGGGCTTTGAGGCCTGTGGTGCAAAAGGAAAATCTTCACATAAAAACTAGATGGAAGCATTCTCAGAAACTACTTTGTGATGATTGCATTCGACTCACAGAGTTGAACATTCCTATAGATAGAGCAGGTTGTAAACAATCTTTTTGTAGAATCTGCGATTGGAGATTTGGACTGCTTTGAGGCCTACTGTAGTAAAGGAAATAACTTCATCTAAAAACCAAACGGAAGCATTCACAGACAATTCTTAGTGATCATTGCATTGAACTAACAGAGCTGAACATTCCTTTAGATGGCGCAGTTTCCAAACACACTTTCTGTAGAATCTGCAAGTGGATATTTGGACCTCTCTGAGGATTTCGTTGGAAACGGGATAAACTTCCCAGAACTACACGGAAGCATTCTGAGAAACTTCTCTGTGATGTTTGCATTCAACTCACAGAGTTGAACCTTGCTTTCATAGTTCAGCTTTCAAACACTCTTTTTGTAGAATCTGCAAGTGGATATTTGGACCACTTTGTGGCCTTCCTTCGAAACGGGTATATCTTCACATCAAACCTAGACAGAAGCATTCTCAGAATGTTTCCTGTGATGACTGCATTCAACTCACAGAGGTGAACAATCCTGTTAATGGGGCACTTTTGAAATTCTCTTTCTTTGGATTCTGCAAGTTGATATGTGGACCTCTGTGAAGATTTCGTTGGAAACGGGTTCATCTTCACAGAAAAACTAAACAGAAGCATTCTCAGAAACTGCTTTGTGATGTTTGTGTTCCACTTCAGGAATTGAACTTTCCTCTTGACAGAGCAGCTCTGAAACCCTCTTATTCTAGAATCTGCAAGTGGACATTTGGAGGGCTTTGAGGCCTGTGGTGGAAAAGGAAAATCTTCACATAAAAACTAGATGGAAGCATTCTCAGAAACTACTTTGTGATGATTGCATTCGACTCACAGAGTTGAACATTCCTATAGATAGAGCAGGTTGTAAACAATCTTTTTGTAGAATCTGCGATTGGAGATTTGGACTGCTTTGAGGCCTACTGTAGTAAAGGAAATAACTTCATCTAAAAACCAAACGGAAGCATTCACAGACAATTCTTAGTGATCATTGGATTGAACTAACAGAGCTGAACATTCCTTTAGATGGAGCAGTTTCCAAACACACTTTCTGTAGAATCTGCAAGTGGATATTTGGACTTCTCTGAGGATTTCGTTGGAAACGGGAAAACTTCCCAGAACTACACGGAAGCATTCTGAGAAACTTCTTTGTGATGTTTGCATTCAACTCACAGAGTTGAACCTTGCTTTCATAGTTCAGCTTTCAAACACTCTTTTTGTAGAATCTGCAAGTGGATATTTGGACCACTTTGTGGCCTTCCTTCGAAACGGGTATATCTTCACATCAAACCTAGACAGAAGCATTCTCAGAATGTTTCCTGTGATGACTGCATTCAACTCACAGAGGTGAACAATCCTGCTGATGGAGCAGTTTTGAAACTCTCTTTCTTTGGATTCTGCAAGTGGATATGTGGACCTCTGTGAAGATTTCGTTGGAAACGGGTTCATCTTCTCAGAAAAACTAAACAGGAGCATTCTCAGAAACTGCTTTGTGATGTTTGTGTTCCACTTCAAAAATTGAACTTTCCTCTTGACAGAGCAGCTCTGAAACCCTCTTTTTCTAGAATCTGCAAGTGGACATTTGGAGGGCTTTTAGGCCTGTGGTGGAAAAGGAAAATCTTCACATAAAAACTAGATGGAAGCATTCTCAGAAACTACTTTGTGATGATTGCATTCGACTCACAGAGTTGAACATTCCTATAGATAGAGCAGGTTGTAAACAATCTTTTTGTAGAATCTGCGATTGGAGATTTGGACTGCTTTGAGGTCTACTGTAGTAAAGGAAATAACTTCATCTAAAAACCAAACGGAAGCATTCACATACAATTCTTAGTGATCATTGGATTGAACTAACAGAGCTGCACATTCCTTTAGATGGAGCAGTTTCCAAACACACTTTCTGTAGAATCTGCAAGTGGATATTTGGACCTCTCTGAGGATAACGTTGGAAACGGGATAAACTTCCCAGAACTACACGGAAGCATTCTGAGAAACTTCTTTGTGATGTTTGCATTCAACTCACAGAGTTGAACCTTGCTTTCATAGTTCAGCTTTCAAACACTCTTTTTGTAGAATCTGCAAGTGGATATTTGGACCACTTTGTGGCCTTCCTTCGAAACGGGTATATCTTCACATCAAACCTAGACAGAAGCATTCTCAGAATGTTTCCTGTGATGACTGCATTCAACTCACAGAGGTGAACAATCCTGCTGATGCAGCAGTTTTGAAACTCTCTTTCTTTGGATTCTGCAAGTGGATATGTGGACCTCTGTGAAGATTTCGTTGGAAACGGGTTCATCTTCACAGAAAAACTAAACAGAAGCACTCTCAGAAACTGCTTTGTTATGTTTGTGTTCCACTTCAAGAATTGAACTTTCCTCTTGACAGAGCAGCTCTGAAACCCTCTTATTCTAGAATCTGCAAGTGGACATTTGGAGGGCTTTGAGGCCTGTGGTGGAAAAGGAAAATCTTCACATAAAAACTAGATGGAAGCATTCTCAGAAACTACTTTGTGATGATTGCATTCGACTCACAGAGTTGAACATTCCTATAGATAGGGCAGGTTGTAAACAATCTTTTTGTAGAATCTGCGATTGGAAATTTGGACTGCTTTGAGGTCTACTGTAGTAAAGGAAATAACTTCATCTAAAAACCAAACGGAAGCAATCACAGACAATTCTTAGTGATCATTGCATTGAACTAACAGAGCTGAACATTCCTTTAGATGGCGCAGTTTCCAAACACACTTTCTGTAGAATCTGCAAGTGGATATTTGGACCTACTCTGAGGATTTCGTTGGAAACGGGATAAACTTCCCAGAACTACACGGAAGCATTGTGAGAAACTTCTCTGTGATGTTTGCATTCAACTCACAAAGTTGAACCTTGCTTTCATAGTTCAGCTTTCAAACACTCTTTTTGTGGAATCTGCAAGTGGATATTTGGACCACTTTGTGGCCTTCCTTCGAAACGGGTATATCTTCACATCAAACCTAGACAGAAGCATTCTCAGAATGTTTCCTGTGATGACTGCATTCAACTCACAGAGGTGAACAATCCTGCTGATGGAGCAGTTTTGAAACTCTCTTTCTTTGGATTCTGCAAGTGGATATGTGGACCTCTGTGAAGATTTCGTTGGAAACGGGTTCATCTTCACAGAAAAACTAAACAGGAGCATTCTCAGAAACTGCTTTGTGATGTTTGTGTTCCACTTAAAGAATTGAACTTTCCTCTTGACAGAGCAGCTCTGAAACCCTCTTTTTCTAGAATCTGCAAGTGGACATTTGGAGGGCTTTGAGGCCTGTGGTGGAAAAGGAAAATCTTCACATAAAAACTAGATGGAAGCATTCTCAGAAACTACTTTGTGATGATTGCATTCGACTCACAGAGTTGAACATTCCTATAGATAGAGCAGGTTGTAAACAATCTTTTTGTAGAATCTGCGATTGGAGATTTGGACTGCTTTGAGGCCTACTGTAGTAAAGGAAATAACTTCATCTAAAAACCAAACGGAAGCATTCACAGACAATTCTTAGTGATCATTGGATTGAACTAACAGAGCTGAACATTCCTTTAGATGGAGCAGTTTCCAAACCCACTTTCTGTAGAATCTCCAAGTGGATATTTGGACCTCTCTGAGGATTTCTTTGGAAACGGGATAAACTTCCCAGAACTACACGGAAGTATTCTGAGAAACTTCTTTGGGATGTTTTCATTCAACTCAAAGAGTTGAACCTTGCTTTCATAGTTCAGCTTTCAAACACTCTTTTTGTAGAATCTGCAAGTGGATGTTTGGAACACTTTGTGGCCTTCCTTCGAAACGGGTATATCTTCACATCAAACCTAGACAGAAGCATTCTCAGAATGTTTCCTGTGATGACTGCATTCAACTCACAGAGGTGAACAATCCTGCTGATGGAGCAGTTTTGAAACTCTCTTTCTTTGGATTCTGCAAGTGGATATGTGGACCTCTGTGAAGATTTCGTTGGAAACGGGTTCATCTTCACAGAAAAACTAAACAGGAGCATTCTCAGAAACTGCTTTGTGATGTTTGTGTTCCACTTCAAGAATTGAACTTTTCTCTTGACAGAGCAGCTCTGAAACCCTCTTTTTCTAGAATCTGCAAGTGGACATTTGGAGGGCTTTGAGGCCTGTGGTGGAAAAGGAAAATCTTCACATAAAAACTAGATGGAAGCATTCTCAGAAACTACTTTGTGATGATTGCATTCGACTCACAGAGTTGAACATTCCTATAGATAGAGCAGGTTGTAAACAATCTTTTTGTAGAATCTGTGATTGGAGATTTGGACTGCTTTGAGGCCTACTGTAGTAAAGGAAATAACTTCATCTAAAAACCAAACGGAAGCATTCACAGACAATTCTTAGTGATCATTGCATTGAACTAACAGAGCTGAACATTCCTTTAGATGGAGCAGTTTCCAAACACACTTTCTGTAGAATCCGCAAGTGGATATTTGGACCTCTCTGAGGATTTCGTTGGAAACGGGATAAACTTCCCAGAACTACACGGAAGCATTGTGAGAAACTTCTTTGTGATGTTTGCATTCAACTCACAGAGTTGAACCTTGCTTTCATAGTTCAGCTTTCAAACACTCTTTTTGTAGAATCTGCAAGTGGATATTTGGACCACTTTGTGGCCTTCCTTCGAAACGGGTATATCTTCACATCAAACCTAGACAGAAGCATTCTCAGAATGTTTCCTGTGATGACTGCATTCAACTCACAGAGGTGAACAATCCTGCTGATGGAGGAGTTTTGAAACTCTCTTTCTTTGGATTCTGCAAGTGGATATGTGGACCTCTGTGAAGATTTCGTTGGAAACGGGTTCATCTTCACAGAAAAACTAAACAGGAGCATTCTCAGAAACTGCTTTGTGATGTTTGTGTTCCACTTCAAGAATTGAACTTTCCTCTTGATAGAGGAGCTCTGAAACCCTCTTTTTCTAGAATCTGCAAGTGGACATTTGGAGGGCTTTGAGGCCTGTGGTGGAAAACGAAAATCTTCACATAAAAACTGGATGGAAGCATTCTCAGAAACTACTTTGTGATGATTGCATTCGACTCACAGAGTTGAACATTCCTATAGATAGAGCAGGTTGTAAACAATCTTTTTGTAGAATCTTCGATTGGAGATTTGGACTGCTTTGAGGCCTACTGTAGTAAAGGAAATAACTTCACCTAAAAACCAAACGGAAGCATTCACAGACAATTCTTAGTGATCATTGGATTGAACTAACAGAGCTGAACATTCCTTTAGATGGAGCAGTTTCCAAACCCACTTTATGTAGAATCTGCAAGTGGATATTTGGACTTCTCTGAGGATTTCGTTGGAAACGGGATATGCTTCCCAGAACTACAGGGAAGCATTCTGAGAAACTTCTTTGTGATGTTTGCATTCAACTCACAGAGTTGAACCTTGCTTTCATAGTTCAGCTTTCAAACACTCTTTTTGTAGAATCTGCAAGTGGATATTTGGACCACTTTGTGGCCTTCCTTCGAAACGGGTATATCTTCACATCAAACCTAGACAGAAGCATTCTCAGAATGTTTCCTGTGATGACTGCATTCAACTCACAGAGGTGAACAATCCTGTTGATGGGGCACTTTTGAAACTCTCTTTCTTTGGATTCTGCAAGTTGATATGTGGACCTCTATGAAGATTTCGTTGGAAACGGGTTCATCTTCACAGAAAAACTAAACAGAAGCATTCTCAGAAACTACTTTGTGATGTTTGTGTTCCACTTCAAGAATTGAACTTTCCTCTTGACAGAGCAGCTCTGAAACCCTCTTTTTCTAGAATCTGCAAGTGGACATTTGGAGGGCTTTGAGGCCTGTGGTGGAAAAGGAAAATCTTCACATAAAAACTAGATGGAAGCATTCTCAGAAACTACTTTGTGATGATTGCATTCGACTCACAGAGTTGAACATTCCTATAGATAGAGCAGGTTGTAAACAATCTTTTTGTAGAATCTGCGATTGGAGATTTGGACTGCTTTGAGGCCTACTGTAGTAAAGGAAATAACTTCATCTAAAAACCAAACGGAAGCATTCACAGACAATTCTTAGTGATCATTGGATTGAACTAACAGAGCTGAACATTCCTTTAGATGGAGCATTTTCCAAACACACTTTCTGTAGAATCTGCAAGTGGATATTTGGACTTCTCTGAGGATTTCGTTGGAAACGGGATAAACTTCCCAGAACTACACGGAAGCATTCTGAGAAACTTCTTTGTGATGTTTGCATTCAACTCACAGAGTTGAACCTTGCTTTCATAGTTCAGCTTTCAAACACTCTTTTTGTAGAATCTGCAAGTGGATATTTGGACCACTTTGTGGCCTTCCTTCGAAACGGGTATATCTTCACATCAAACCTAGACAGAAGCATTCTCAGAATGTTTCCTGTGATGACTGCATTCAACTCACAGAGGTGAACAATCCTGCTGATGGAGCAGTTTTGAAACTCTCTTTCTTTGGATTCTGCAAGTGGATATGTGGACCTCTTTGAAGATTTCGTTGGAAACGGGTTCATCTTCACAGAAAAACTAAACAGGAGCATTCTCAGAAACTGCTTTGTGATGTTTGTGTTCCACTTCAGGAATTGAACTTTCCTCTTGACAGAGCAGCTCTGAAACCCTCTTTTTGTAGAATCTGCAAGTGGACATTTGGAGGGCTTTGAGGCCTGTGGTGGAAAAGGAAAATCTTCACATAAAAACTAGATGGAAGCATTCTCAGAAACTACTTTGTGATGATGGCTTTCGACTCACAGAGTTGAACATTCCTATAGATAGAGCAGGTTGTAAACAATCTTTTTGTAGAATCTGCGATTGGAGATTTGGACTGCTTTGAGGCCTACTGTAGTAAAGGAAATAACTTCATCTAAAAACCAAACGGAAGCATTCACAGACAATTCTTAGTGATCATTGCATTGAACTAACAGAGCTGAACATTGCTTTAGATGGCGCAGTTTCCAAACACACTTTCTGTAGAATCTGCAAGTGGATATTTGGACCTCTCTGAGGATTTCGTTGGAAACGGGATAAACTTCCCAGAACTACACGGAAAGCATGCTGAGAAACTTCTTTGTGATGTTTGCATTCAACTCACAGAGTTGAACCTTGCTTTCATAGTTCAGCTTTCAAACACTCTTTTTGTAGAATCTGCAAGTGGATATTTGGACCACTTTGTGGCCTTCCTTCGAAACGGGTATATCTTCACTTCAAACCTAGACAGAAGCATTCTCAGAATGTTTCCTGTGATGACTGCATTCAACTCACAGAGGTGAACAATCCTGCTGATGGAGCAGTTTTGAAACTCTCTTTCTTTGGATTCTGCAAGTTGATATGTGGACCTCTGTGAAGATTTCGTTGGAAACGGGTTCATCTTCACAGAAAAACTAAACAGGAGCATTCTCAGAAACTGCTTTGTGATGTTTGTGTTCCACTTCAAGAATTGAACTTTCCTCTTGACAGAGCAGCTCTGAAACCCTCTTTTTCTAGAATCTGCAAGTGGACATTTGGAGGGCTTTGAGGCCTGTGGTGGAAAAGGAAAATCTTCAAATAAAAACTAGATGGAAGCATTCTCAGAAACTACTTTGTGATGATTGCATTCGACTCACAGAGTTGAACATTCCTATAGATAGAGCAGGTTGTAAACAATCTTTTTGTAGAATCTGCGATTGGAGATTTGGACTGCTTTGAGGCCTACTGTAGTAAAGGAAATAACTTCATCTAAAAACCAAACGGAAGCATTCACAGACAATTCTTAGTGATCATTGGATTGAACTAACAGAGCTGAACATTCCTTTAGATGGAGCAGTTTCCAAACACACTTTCTGTAGAATCTGCAAGTGGATATTTGGACTTCTCTGAGGATTTCGTTGGAAACGGGATAAACTTCCCAGAACTACACGGAAGCATTCTGAGAAACTTCTTTGTGATGTTTGCATTCAACTCACAGAGTTGAACCTTGCTTTCATAGTTCAGCTTTCAAACACTCTTTTTGTAGAATCTGCAAGTGGATATTTGGACCACTTTGTGGCCTTCCTTCGAAACGGGTATATCTTCACATCAAACCTAGACAGAAGCATTCTCAGAATGTTTCCTGTGATGACTGCATTCAACTCACAGAGGTGAACAATCCTGTTGATGGAGCAGTTTTGAAACTCTCTTTCTTTGGATTCTGCAAGTTGATATGTGGACCTATGTGAAGATTTCGTTGGAAACGGGTTCATCTTCACAGAAAAACTAAACAGAAGCATTCTCAGAAACTGCTTTGTGATGTTTGTGTTCCACTTCAGGAATCGAACTTTCTTCTTGACAGAGCAGCTCTGAAACCCTCTTTTTCTAGAATCTGCAAGTGGACATTTGGAGGGCTTTGAGGCCTGTGGTGGAAAAGGAAAATCTTCACATAAAAACTAGATGGAAGCATTCTCAGAAACTACTTTGTGATGATTGCATTCGACTCACAGAGTTGAACATTCCTATAGATAGAGCAGGTTGTAAACAATCTTTTTGTAGAATCTGCGATTGGAGATTTGGACTGCTTTGAGGCCTACTGTAGTAAAGGAAATAACTTCATCTAAAAACCAAACGGAAGCATTCACAGACAATTCTTAGTGATCATTGGATTGAACTAACAGAGCTGAACATTCCTTTAGATGGCGCAGTTTCCAAACACACTTTCTGTAGAATCTGCAAGTGGATATTTGGACCTCTCTGAGGATTTCGTTGGAAACGGGATAAACTTCCCAGAACTACACGGAAGCATTCTGAGAAACTTCTTTGTGATGTTTGCATTCAACTCACAGAGTTGAACCTTGCTTTCATAGTTCAGCTTTCAAACACTCTTTTTGTAGAATCTGCAAGTGGATATTTGGACCACTTTGTGGCCTTCCTTCGAAACGGGTATATCTTCACATCAAACCTAGACAGAAGCATTCTCAGAATGTTTCCTGTGATGACTGCATTCAACTCACAGAGGTGAACAATCCTGTTGATGGAGCAGTTTTGAAACTCTCTTTCTTTGGATGCTGCAAGTGGATATGTGGACCTCTGTGAAGATTTCGTTGGAAACGGGTTCATCTTCACAGAAAAACTAAACAGAAGCATTCTCAGAAACTGCTTTGTGATGTTTGTGTTCCACTTCAGGAATTGAACTTTCCTCTTGACAGAGCAGCTCTGAAACCCTCTTTTTCTAGAATCTGCAAGTGGACATTTGGAGGGCTTTGAGGCCTGTGGTGGAAAAGGAAAATCTTCACATAAAAACTAGATGGAAGCATTCTCAGAAACTACTTTGTGATGATTGCATTCGACTCACAGAGTTGAACATTCCTATAGATAGAGCAGGTTGTGAACAATCTTTTTGTAGAATCTGCGATTGGAGATTTGGACTGCTTTGAGGCCTACTGTAGTAAAGGAAATAACTTCATCTAAAAACCAAACGGAAGCATTCACAGACAATTCTTAGTGATCATTGGATTGAAGTAACAGAGCTGAACACTCCTTTAGATGGAGCAGTTTCCAAACACACTTTCTGTAGAATCTGCAAGTGGATATTTGGACTTCTCTGAGGATTTCCATGGAAACGGGATAAAATTCCCAGAACTACACGGAAGCATTGTGAGAAACTTCTTTGTGATGTTTGCATTCAACTCACAGAGTTGAATCTTGCTTTCATAGTTCAGCTTTCAAACACTCTTTTTGTAGAATCTGCAAGTGGATATTTGGACCACTTTGTGGCCTTCCTTCGAAACGGGTATATCTTCACATCAAACCTAGACAGAAGCATTCTCAGAATGTTTCCTGTGATGACTGCATTCAACTCACAGAGGTGAACAATCCTGTTGATGGAGCACTTTTGAAACTCTCTTTCTTTGGATTCTGCAAGTGGATATGTGGACCTCTGTGAAGATTTCGTTGGAAACGGGTTCATCTTCACAGAAAAACTAAATAGGAGCATTCTCAGAAACTGCTTTGTGATGTTTGTGTTCCACTTCAGGAATTGAACGTTCCTCTTGACAGAGCAGCTCTGAAACCCTCTTTTTCTAGAATCTGCAAGTGGACATTTGGAGGGCTTTGAGGCCTGTGGTGGAAAAGGAAAATCTTCACATAAAAACTAGATGGAAGCATTCTCAGAAACTACTTTGTGATGATTGCATTCGACTCACAGAGTTGAACATTCCTATACATAGAGCAGGTTGTAAACAATCTTTTTGTAGAATCTGCGATTGGAGATTTGGACTGCTTTGAGGCCTACTGTAGTAAAGGAAATAACTTCATCTAAAAACCAAACGGAAGCATTCACAGACAATTCTTAGTGATCATTGGATTGAACTAACAGAGCTGAACATTCCTCTAGATGGAGCAGTTTCCAAACACACTTTCTGTAGAATCTGCAAGTGGATATTTGGACTTCTCTGAGGATTTCGTTGGAAACGGGATAAACTTCCCAGAACTACACGGAAGCATTCTGAGAAACTTCTTTGTGATGTTTGCATTCAACTCACAGAGTTGAACCTTGCTTTCATAGTTCAGCTTTCAAACACTCTTTTTGTAGAATCTGCAAGTGGATATTTGGACCACTTTGTGGCCTTCCTTCGAAACGGGTATATCTTCACATCAAACCTAGACAGAAGCATTCTCAGAATGTTTCCTGTGATGACTGCATTCAACTCACAGAGGTGAACAATCCTTCTGATGGAGCAGTTTTGAGACTCTCTTTCTTTGGATTCTGCAAGTGGATATGTGGACCTCTGTGAAGATTTCGTTGGAAACGGGTTCATCTTCACAGAAAAACTAAACAGAAGCATTCTCGGAAACTGCTTTGTGATGTTTGTGTTCCACTTCAGGAATTGAACTTTCCTCTTGACAGAGCAGCTCTGAAACCCTCTTATTCTAGAATCTGCAAGTGGACATTTGGAGGGCTTTGAGGCCTGTGGTGGAAAAGGAAAATCTTCACATAAAAACTAGATGGAAGCATTCTCAGAAACTACTTTGTGATGATTGCATTCGACTCACAGAGTTGAACATTCCTATAGATAGAGCAGGTTGTAAACAATCTTTTTGTAGAATCTGCGATTGGAGATTTGGACTGCTTTGAGGCCTACTGTAGTAAAGGAAATAACTTCATCTAAAAACCAAACGGAAGCATTCACAGACAATTCTTAGTGATCATTGCATTGAACTAACAGAGCTGAACATTCCTTTAGATGGAGCAGTTTCCAAACACACTTTCTGTAGAATGTGCAAGTGGATATTTGGACTTCTCTGAGGATTTCGTTGGAAACGGGATAAACTTCCCAGAACTACACGGAAGCATTCTGAGAAACTTCTTTGTGATGTTTGCATTCAACTCACAGAGTTGAACCTTGCTTTCATAGTTCAGCTTTCAAACACTCTTTTTGTAGAATCTACAGAAAGTGGATATTTGGACCACTTTGTGGCCTTCCTTCGAAACGGGTATATCTTCACATCAAACCTAGACAGAAGCATTCTCAGAATGTTTCCTGTGATGACTGCATTCAACTCACAGAGGTGAACAATCCTGCTGATGGAGCAGTTTTGAAACTCTCTTTCTTTGGTTTCTGCAAGTGGATATGTGGACCTCTGTGAAGATTTCGTTGGAAACGGGTTCATCTTCCCAGAAAAACTAAAAAGAAACATTCTCAGAAACTGCTTTGTGAAGTTTGTGTTCCACTTCAGGAATTGAACTTTCCTCTTGACAGAGCAGCTCTGAAACCCTCTTATTCTAGAATCTGCAAGTGGACATTTGGAGGGCTTTGAGGCCTGTGGTGGAAAAGGAAAATCTTCACATAAAAACTAGATGGAAGCATTCTCAGAAACTACTTTGTGATGATTGCATTCGACTCACAGAGTTGAACATTCCTATAGATAGAGCAGGTTGTAAACAATCTTTTTGTAGAATCTGCGATTGGAGATTTGGACTGCTTTGAGGCCTACTGTAGTAAAGGAAATAACTTCATCTAAAAACCAAACGGAAGCATTCACAGACAATTCTTAGTGATCATTGGATTGAACTAACAGAGCTGAACATTCCTTTAGATGGAGCAGTTTCCAAACACACTTTCTGTAGAATCTGCAAGTGGATATTTGGACTTCTCTGAGGATTTCGTTGGAAACGGGATAAACTTCCCAGAACTACACGGAAGCATTGTGAGAAACTTCTTTGTGATGTTTGCATTCAACTCACAGAGTTGAACCTTGCTTTCATAGTTCAGCTTTCAAACACTCTTTTTGTAGAATCTGCAAGTGGATATTTGGACCACTTTGTGGCCTTCCTTCGAAACGGGTATATCTTCACATCAAACCTAGACAGAAGCATTCTCAGAATGTTTCCTGTGATGACTGCATTCAACTCACAGAGGTGAACAATCCTGTTGATGGAGCAGTTTTGAAACTCTCTTTCTTTGGATTCTGCAAGTGGATATGTGGACCTCTGTGAAGATTTCGTTGGAAACGGGTTCATCTTCACAGAAAAACTAAACAGGAGCATTCTCAGAAACTGCTTTGTGATGTTTGTGTTCCACTTCAAGAATTGAACTTTCCTCTTGACAGAGCAGCTCTGAAACCCTCTTTTTCTAGAATCTGCAAGTGGACATTTGGAGGGCTTTGAGGCCTGTGGTGGAAAAGGAAAATCTTCACATAAAAACTAGATGGAAGCATTCTCAGAAACTACTTTGTGATGATTGCATTCGACTCACAGAGTTGAACATTCCTATAGATAGAGAAGGTTGTAAACAATCTTTTTGTAGAATCTGCGATTGGAGATTTGGACTGCTTTGAGGCCTACTGTAGTAAAGGAAATAACTTCACCTAAAAACCAAACGGAAGCATTCACAGACAATTCTTAGTGATCATTGCATTGAACTAACAGAGCTGAACATTCCTTTAGATGGCGCAGTTTCCAAACACACTTTCTGTAGAATCTGCAAGTGGATATTTGGACCTCTCTGAGGATTTCGTTGGAAACGGGATAAACTTCCCAGAACTACACGGAAGCATTCTGAGAAACTTCTTTGTGATGTTTGCATTCAACTCACAGAGTTGAACCTTGCTTTCATAGTTCAGCTTTCAAACACTCTTTTTGTAGAATCTGCAAGTGGATATTTGGACCACTTTGTGGCCTTCCTTCGAAACGGGTATATCTTCACATCAAACCTAGACAGAAGCATTCTCAGAATGTTTCCTGTGATGACTGCATTCAACTCACAGAGGTGAAGAATCCTGTTGATGGAGCAGTTTTGAAACTCTCTTTCTTTGGATTCTGCAAGTGGATATGTGGACATCTATGAAGATTTCGTTGGAAACGGGTTCATCTTCACAGAAAAACTAAACAGAAGCATTCTCAGAAACTGCTTTGTGATGTTTGTGTTCCACTTCAGGAATTGAACTTTTCTCTTGAAAGAGCAGATCTGAAACCCTCTTTTTCTAGAATCTGCAAGTGGACATTTGGAGGGCTTTGAGGCCTGTGGTGGAAAAGGAAAATCTTCACATAAAAACTAGATGGAAGCATTCTCTGAAACTACTTTGTGATGATTGCATTCGACTCACAGAGTTGAACATTCCTATAGATAGAGCAGGTTGTAAACAATCTTTTTGTAGAATCTGCGATTGGAGATTTGGACTGCTTTGAGGCCTACTGTAGTAAAGGAAATAACTTCATCTAAAAACCAAACGGAAGCATTCACAGACAATTCTTAGTGATCATTGGATTGAACTAACAGAGCTGAACATTCCTTTAGATGGAGCAGTTTCCAAACACACTTTCTGTAGAATCTGCAAGTGGATATTTGGACCTCTCTGAGGATTTCGTTGGAAACGGGATAAACTTCCCAGAACTACACGGAAGCATTCTGAGAAACTTCTTTGTGATGTTTGCATTCAACTCACAGAGTTGAACCTTGCTTTCATAGTTCAGCTATCAAACACTCTTTTTGTAGGATCTGCAAGTGGATATTTGGACCAGATTGTGGCCTTCCTTCGAAACGGGTATATCTTCACATCAAACCTAGACAGAAGCATTCTCAGAATGTTTCCTGTGATGACTGCATTCAACTCACAGAGGTGAACAATCCTGCTGATGGAGCAGTTTTGAAACTCTCTTTCTTTGGATTCTGCAAGTGGATATGTGGACCTCTGTGAAGATTTCGTTGGAAACGGGTTCATCTTCACAGAAAAACTAAACAGGAGCATTCTCAGAAACTGCTTTGTGATGTTTGTGTTCCACTTCAAGAATTGAACTTTCCTCTTGACAGAGCAGCTCTGAAACCCTCTTTTTCTAGAATCTGCAAGTGGACATTTGGAGGGCTTTGAGGCCTGTGGTGGTAAAGGAAAATCTTCACATAAAAACTTTATGGAAGCATTCTCAGAAACTTCTTTGTGATGATTGCATTCGACTCACAGAGTTGAACATTCCTATAGATAGAGCAGGTTGTAAACAATCTTTTTGTAGAATCTGCGATTGGAGATTTGGACTGCTTTGAGGCCTACTGTAGTAAAGGAAATTACTTCATCTAAAAACCAAACGGAAGCATTCACAGACAATTCTTAGTGATCATTGGATTGAACTAACAGAGCTGAACATTCCTTTAGATGGAGCAGTTGCCAAACACACTTTCTGTAGAATCTGCAAGTGGATATTTGGACTTCTCTGAGGATTTCGTTGGAAACGGGATAAAATTCCCAGAACTACACGGAAGCATTGTGAGAAACTTCTTTGTGATGTTTGCATTCAACTCACAGAGTTGAACCTTGCTTTCATAGTTCAGCTTTCAAACACTCTTTTTGTAGAATCTGCAAGTGGATATTTGGACCACTTTGTGGCCTTCCTTCGAAACGGGTATATCTTCACATCAAACCTAGACAGAAGCATTCTCAGAATGTTTCCTGTGATGACTGCATTCAACTCACAGAGGTGAACAATCCTGTTGATGGAGCAGTTTTGAAACTCTCTTTCTTTGGATTCTGCAAGTGGATATGTGGACCTCTGTGAAGATTTCGTTGGAAACGGGTTCATCTTCACAGAAAAACTAAACAGAAGCATTCTCAGAAACTGCTTTGTGATGTTTGTGTTCCACTTCAGGAATTGAACTTTCCTCTTGACAGAGCAGCTCTGAAACCCTCTTTTTCTAGAATCTGCAAGTGGACATTTGGAGGGCTTTGAGGCCTGTGGTGGAAAAGGAAAATCTTCACATAAAAACTAGATGGAAGCATTCTCAGAAACTACTTTGTGATGATTGCATTCGACTCACAGAGTTGAACATTCCTATAGATAGAGCAGGTTGTAAACAATCTTTTTGTAGAATCTGCGATTGGAGATTTGGACTGCTTTGAGGCCTACTGTAGTAAAGGAAATAACTTCATCTAAAAACCAAACGGAAGCATTCAAAGACAATTCTTAGTGATCATTGGATTGAACTAACAGAGCTGAACATTCCTTTAGATGGCGCAGTTTCCAAACACACTTTCTGTAGAATCTGCAAGTGGATATTTGGACCTCTCTGAGGATTTCGTTGGAAACGGGATAAACTTCCCAGAACTACACGGAAGCATTCTGAGAAACTTCTTTGTGATGTTTGCATTCAACTCACAGAGTTGAACATTGCTTTCATAGTTCAGCTTTCAAACACTCTTTTTGTAGAATCTGCAAGTGGATATTTGGACCACTTTGTGGCCTTCCTTCGAAACGGGTATATCTTCACATCAAACCTTGACAGAAGCATTCCCAGAATGTTTCCTGTGATGACTGCATTCAACTCACAGAGGTGAACAATCCTGCTGATGGAGCAGTTTTGAAACTCTCCTTCTTTGGATTCTGCAAGTGGATATGTGGACCTCTGTGAAGATTTCGTTGGAAACGGGTTCATCTTCACAGAAAAACTAAACAGAAGCATTCTCAGAAACTGCTTTGTGATGTTTGTGTTCCACTTCAGGAATTGAACTTTCCTCTTGACAGAGCAGCTCTGAAACCCTCTTATTCTAGAATCTGCAAGTGGACATTTGGAGGGCTTTGAGGCCTGTGGTGGAAAAGGAAAATCTTCACATAAAAACTAGATGGAAGCATTCTCAGAAACTACTTTGTGATGATTGCATTCGACTCACAGAGTTGAATATTCCTATAGATAGAGCAGGTTGTAAACAATCTTTTTGTAGAATCTGCGATTGGAGATTTGGACTGCTTTGAGGCCTACTGTAGTAAAGGAAATAACTTCATCTAAAAACCAAACGGAAGCATTCACAGACAATTCTTAGTGATCATTGCATTGAACTAACAGAGCTGAACATTCCTTTAGATGGCGCAGTTTCCAAACACACTTTCCGTAGAATCTGCAAGTGGATATTTGGACCTCTCTGAGGATTTCGATGGAAACGGGATAAACTTCCCAGAACTACACGGAAGCATTCTGAGAAACTTCTTTGTGATGTTTGCATTCAACTCACAGAGTTCAACCTTGCTTTCATAGTTCAGCTTTCAAACACTCTTTTTGTAGAATCTGCAAGTGGATATTTGGACCACTTTGTGGCCTTCCTTCGAAACGGGTATATCTTCACATCAAACCTAGACAGAAGCATTCTCAGAATGTTTCCTGTGATGACTGCATTCAACTCACAGAGGTGAACAATCCTGCTGATGGAGCAGTTTTGAAACTCTCTTTCTTTGGATTCTGCAAGTGGATATGTGGACCTCTGTGAAGATTTCGTTGGAAACGGGTTCATCTTCACAGAAAAACTAAACAGAAACATTCTCAGAAACTGCTTTGTGATGTTTGTGTTCCACTTCAGGAATTGAACTTTCCTCTTGACAGAGCAGCTCTGAAACCCTCTTATTCTACAATCTGCAAGTGGACATTTGGAGGGCTGTGAGGCCTGTGGTGGAAAAGGAAAATCTTCACATAAAAACTAGATGGAAGCATTCTCAGAAACTACTTTGTGATGATTGCATTCGACTCACAGAGTTGAACATTCCTATAGATAGAGCAGGTTGTAAACAATCTTTTTGTAGAATCTGCGATTGGAGATTTGGACTGCTTTGAGGCCTACTGTAGTAAAGGAAATAACTTCATCTAAAAACCAAACGGAAGCATTCACAGACAATTCTTAGTGATCATTGGATTGAACTAACAGAGCTGAACACTCCTTTAGATGGAGCAGTTTCCAAACACACTTTCTGTAGAATCTGCAAGTGGATATTTGGACTTGTCTGAGGATTTCGTTGGAAACGGGATAAACTTCCCAGAACTACACGGAAGCATTGTGAGAAACTTCTTTGTGATGTTTGCATTCAACTCACAGAGTTGAACCTTGCTTTCATAGTTCAGCTTTCAAACACTCTTTTTGTAGAATCTGCAAGTGGATATTTGGACCACTTTGTGGCCTTCCTTCGAAACGGGTATATCTTCACATCAAACCTAGACAGAAGCATTCTCAGAATGGTTCCTGTGATGACTGCATTCAACTGACAGAGGTGAACAATCCTGCTGATGGAGCAGTTTTGAAACTCTCTTTCTTTGGATTCTGCAAGTGGATATGTGGACCGCTGTGAAGATTTCGTTGGAAACGGGTTCATCTTCACAGAAAAACTAAACAGAAGCATTATCAGAAACTGCTTTGTGATGTTTGTGTTCCACTTCAGGAATTGTACTTTCCTCTTGACAGAGCAGCTCTGAAACCCTCTTATTCTAGAAACTGCAAGTGGACATTTGGAGGGCTTTGAGGCCTGTGGTGGAAAAGGAAAATCTTCACATAAAAACTAGATGGAAGCATTCTCAGAAACTACTTTGTGATGATTGCATTCGACTCACAGAGTTGAACATTCCTATAGATAGAGCAGGTTGTAAACAATCTTTTTGTAGAATCTGCGATTGGAGATTTGGACTGCTTTGAGGCCTACTGTAGTAAAGGAAATAACTTCATCTAAAAACCAAACGGAAGCATTCACAGACAATTCTTAGTGATCATTGGATTGAACTAACAGAGCTGAACATTCCTTTAGATGGAGCAGTTTCCAAACACACTTTCTGTAGAATCTGCAAGTGGATATTTGGACTTGCTCTGAGGATTTCGTTGGAAACGGGATAAACTTCCCAGAACTACACGGAAGCATTCTGAGAAACTTCTTTGTGATGTTTGCATTCAACTCACAGAGTTGAACCTTGCTTTCATAGTTCAGCTTTCAAAGACTCTTTTTGTAGAATCTGCAAGTGGATATGTGGACCACTTTGTGGCCTTCCTTCGAAACGGGTATATCTTCACATCAAACCTAGACAGAAGCATTCTCAGAATGTTTCCTGTGATGACTGCATTCAACTCACAGAGGTGAACCATCCTGTTGATGGAGCAGTTTTGAAACTCCCTTTCTTTGGATTCTGCAAGTGGATATGTGGACCTCTGTGAAGATTTCCTCGGAAACGGGTTCATCTTCACAGAAAAACTAAACAGGAGCATTCTCAGAAACTGCTTTGTGATGTTTGTGTTCCACTTCAGGAATTGAACTTTCCTCTTAACAGAGCAGCTCTGAAACCCTCTTATTCTAGAATCTGCAAGTGGACATTTGGAGGGCTTTGAGGCCTGTGGTGGAAAAGGAAAATCTTCACATAAAAACTAGATGGAAGCATTCTCAGAAACTACTTTGTGATGATTGCATTCGACTCACAGAGTTGAACATTCCTATAGATAGAGCAGGTTGTAAACAATCTTTTTGTAGAATCTGCGATTGGAGATTTGGACTGCTTTGAGGCCTACTGTAGTAAAGGAAATAACTTCATCTAAAAACCAAACGGAAGCATTCACAGACAATTCTTAGTGATCATTGGATTGAACTAACAGAGCTGAACATTCCCTTAGATGGCGCAGTTTCCAAACGCACTTTCTGTAGAATCTGCAAGTGGATATTTGGACCTCTCTGAGGATTTCGTTGGAAACGGGATAAACTTCCCAGAACTACACGGAAGCATTCTGAGAAACTTCTTTGTGATGTTTGCATTCAACTCACAGAGTTGAACCTTGCTTTCATAGTTCAGCTTTCAAACACTCTTTTTGTAGAATCTGCAAGTGGATATTTGGACCACTTTGTGGCCTTCCTTCGAAACGGGTATATCTTCACATCAAACCTAGACAGAAGCATTCTCAGAATGTTTCCTGTGATGACTGCATTCAACTCATAGAGGTGAACAATCCTGTTGATGGAGAAGTTTTGAAACTCTTTTTCTTTGGATTCTGCAAGTGGATATGTGGACCTCTGTGAAGATTTCGTTGGAAACGGGTTCATCTTCACAGGAAAACTAAACAGGAGCATTCTCAGAAACTGCTTTGTGATGTTTGTGTTCCACTTCAAGAATTGAACTTTCCTCTTGACAGAGCAGCTCTGAAACCCTCTTTTTCTAGAATCTGCAAGTGGACATTTGGAGGGCTTTGATGCCTGTGGTGGAAAAGGAAAATCTTCACATAAAAACTAGATGGAAGCATTCTCAGAAACTACTTTGTGATGATTGCATTCGACTCACAGAGTTGAACATTCCTATAGATAGAGCAGGTTGTAAACAATGTTTTTGTAGAATCTGCGATTGGAGATTTGGACTGCTTTGAGGCCTACTGTAGTAAAGGAAATAACTTCATCTAAAAACCAAACGGAAGCATTCACAGACAATTCTTAGTGATCATTGGATTGAACTAACAGAGCTGAACATTCCTTTAGATGGAGCAGTTTCCAAACACACTTTCTGTAGAATCTGCAAGTGGATATTTGGACTTCTCTGAGGATTTCGTTGGAAACGGGATAAACTTCCCAGAACTACACGGAAGCATTCTGAGAAACTTCTTTGTGATGTTTGCATTCAACTCACAGAGTTGAACCTTGCTTTCATAGTTCAGCTTTCAAACACTCTTTTTGTAGAATCTGCAAGTGGATATTTGGACCACTTTGTGGCCTTCCTTCGAAACGGGTATATCTTCACATCAAACCTAGACAGAAGCATTCTCAGAATGTTTCCTGTGATGACTGCATTCAACTCACAGAGGTGCACAATCCTGTTGATGGAGCAGTTTTGAAACTCTCTTTGTTTGGATTCTGCAAGTTGATATGTGGACCTCTGTGAAGATTTCGTTGGAAACGGGTTCATCTTCACAGAAAAACTAAACAGGAGCATTCTCAGAAACTGCTTTGTGATGTTTGTGTTCCACTTCAAGAATTGAACTTTCCTCTTGACAGAGCAGCTCTGAAACCCTCTTTTTCTAGAATCTGCAAGTGGACATTTGGAGGGCTTTGAGGTCTGTGGTGGAAAAGGAAAATCTTCACATAAAAACTAGATGGAAGCATTCTCAGAAACTACTTTGTGATGATTGCATTCGACCCACAGAGTTGAACATTCCTATAGATAGAGCAGGTTGTAAACAATCTTTTTGTAGAATCTGCGATTGGAGATTTGGACTGCTTTGAGGCCTACTGTAGTAAAGGAAATAACTTCATCTAAAAACCAAACGGAAGCATTCACAGACAATTCTTAGTGATCATTGCATTGAACTAACGGAGCTGAACATTCCTTTAGATGAAGCAGTTTCCAAACACACTTTCTGTAGAATCTGCAAGTGGATATTTGGACTTCTCTGAGGATTTCGTTGGAAACGGGATAAACTTCCCAGAACTACACCGGAAGCATGCTGAGAAACTTCTTTGTGATGTTTGCATTCAACTCACAGAGTTGAACCTTGCTTTCATAGTTCAGCTTTCAAACACTCTTTTTGTAGAATCTGCAAGTGGATGTTTGGACCACTTTGTGGCCTTCCTTCGAAACGGGTATATCTTCACATCAAACCTAGACAGAAGCATTCTCAGAATGTTTCCTGTGATGACTGCATTCAACTCACAGAGGTGAACAATCCTGCTGATGGAGCAGTTTTGAAACTCTCTTTCTTTGGATTCTGCAAGTGGATATGTGGACCTCTGTGAAGATTTCGTTGGAAACGGGTTCATCTTCACAGAAAAACTAAAAAGAAGCCTTCTCAGAAACTACTTTGTGATGTTTGTGTTCCACTTCAAGAATTGAACTTTCCTCTTGACAGAGCAGCTCTGAATCCCTCTTTTTCTAGAATCTGCGAGTGGACATTTGGAGGGCTTTGAGGCCTGTGGTGGAAAAGGAAAATCTTCCCATAAAAACTAGATGGAAGCATTCTCAGAAACTACTTTGTGATGATTGCATTCGACTCACAGAGTTGAACATTCCTATAGATAGAGCAGGTTGTAAACAATCTTTTTGTAGAATCTGCGATTGGAGATTTGGACTGCTTTGAGGCCTACTGTAGTAAAGGAAATAACTTCATCTAAAAACGAAACGGAAGCATTCACAGACAATTCTTAGTGATCATTGGATTGAACTAACAGAGCTGAACATTCCTTTAGATGGCGCAGTTTCCAAACACACTTTCTGTAGCATCTGCAAGTGGATATTTGGACCTCTCTGAGGATTTCGTTGGAAACGGGATAAGCTTCCCAGAACTACACGGAAGCATTGTGAGAAACTTCTTTGTGATGTTTGCATTCAACTCACAGAGTTGAACCTTGCTTTCATAGTTCAGCTTTCAAACACTCTATTTGTAGAATCTGCAAGTGGATATTTGGACCACTTTGTGGCCTTCCTTCGAAACGGGTATATCTTCACATCAAACCTAGACAGAAGCATTCTCAGAATGTTTCCTGTGATAACTGCATTCAACTCTCAGAGGTGAACAATCCTGTTGATGGAGCAGTTTTGAAACTCCCTTTCTTTGGATTCTGCAAGTGGATATGTGGAACTCTGTGAAGATTTCTTTGGAAACGGGTTCATCTTCGCAGAAAAACTAAACAGGAGCACACTCAGAAACTGCTTTGTGATGTTTGTGTTCCACTTCAAGAATTGAACTTTCCTCTTGACAGAGCAGCTCTGAAACCCTCTTTTTCTAGAATCTGCAAGTGGACATTTGGAGGGCTTTGAGGCCTGTGGTGGAAAAGGAATATCTTCCCATAAAAACTAGATGGAAGCATTCTCAGAAACTACTTTGTGATGATTGCATTCGACTCACAGAGTTGAACATTCCTATAGATAGAGCAGGTTGTAAACAATCTTTTGTAGAATCTGCGATTGGAGATTTGGACTGCTTTGAGGCCTACTGTAGTAAAGGAAATAACTTCATCTAAAAACCAAACGGAGGTATTCAAAGACAATTCTTAGTGATCATTGGATTGAACTAACAGAGCTGAACATTAGTTTAGATGGCGCAGTTTCCAAACACACTTTCTGTAGAATCTGCAAGTGGATATTTGGACTTCTCTGAGGATTTCGTTGGAAACGGGATAAACTTCCCAGAACTACACGGCAGCATTCTGAGAAACTTCTTTGTGATGTTTGCATTCAACTCACAGAGTTGAAACTTGCTTTCATAGTTCAGCTTTCAAACACTCTTTTTGTAGAATCTGCAAGTGGATATTTGGACCACTTTGTGGCTTTCCTTCGAAACGGGTATATCTTCACATCAAACCTAGACAGAAGCATTCTCAGAATGTTTCCTGTGATGACTGCATTCAACTCACAGAGGTGAACAATCCTGCTGATGGAGCAGTTTTGAAACTCTCTTTCTTTGGATTCTGCAAGTGGATATGTGGACCTCTGTGAAGATTTCGTTGGAAACGGGTTCATCTTCACAGAAAAACTAAACAGAAGCATTCTCAGAAACTGCTTTGTGATGTTTGTGTTCCACTTCAAGAATTGAACTTTCCTCTTGACAGAGCAGCTCTGAAACCCTCTTTTTCTAGAATCTGCAAGTGGACATTTGGAGGGCTTTGAGGCCTGTGGTGGAAAAGGAAAATCTTCACATAAAAACTAGATGGAAGCATTCTCAGAAACTACTTTGTGATGATTGCATTCGACTCACAGAGTTGAACATTCCTATAGATAGAGCAGGTTGTAAACAATCTTTTTGTAGAATCTGCGATTGGAGATTTGGACTGCTTTGAGGCCTACTGTAGTAAAGGAAATAACTTCATCTAAAAACCAAACGGAAGCATTCACAGACAATTCTTAGTGATCATTGGATTGAACTAACAGAGCTGAACATTCCTTTAGATGGCGCAGTTTCCAAACACACTTTCTGTAGAATCTGCAAGTGGATATTTGGACCTCTCTAAGGATTTCGTTGGAAACGGGATAAACTTACCAGAACTACACGGAAGCATTGTGAGAAACTTCTTTGTGATGTTTGCAATCAACTCACAGAGTTGAACCTTGCTTTCATAGTTCAGCTTTCAAACACTCTTTGTGTAGAATCTGCAAGTGGATATTTGGACCACTTTGTGGCCTTCCTTCGAAACGGGTATATCTTCACATCAAACCTAGACAGAAGCATTCTCAGAATGTTTCCTGTGATGACTGCATTCAACTCACAGAGGTGAACAATCCTGCTGATGGAGCAGTTTTGAAACTCTCTTTCTTTGGATTCTGCAAGTGGATATGTGGACCTCTGTGAAGATTTCGTTGGAAACGTGTTCATCTTCACAGAAAAACTAAACAGGAGCATTCTCAGAAACTGCTTTGTGATGTTTGTGTTCCACTTCAAGAATTGAACTTTCCTCTTGACAGAGCAGCTCTGAAACCCTCTTTTTCTAGAATCTGCAAGTGGACATTTGGAGGGCTTTGAGGCCTGTGGTGGAAAAGGAAAATCTTCCCATAAAAACTAGATGGAAGCATTCTCAGAAACTACTTTGTGATGATTGCATTCGACTCACAGAGTTGAACATTCCTATAGATAGAGCAGGTTGTAAACAATGTTTTTGTAGAATCTGCGATTGGAGATTTGGACTGCTTTGAGGCCTACTGTAGTAAAGGAAATAACTTCATCTAAAAACCAAACGGAAGCATTCACAGACAATTCTTAGTGATCATTGGATTGAACTAACAGAGCTGAACATTCCTTTAGATGGAGCAGTTTCCAAACACACTTTCTGCAGAATCTGCAAGTGGATATTTGGACTTCTCTGAGGATTTCGTTGGAAATGGGATAAACTTCCCAGAACTACACGGAAGCATTGTGAGAATCATCTTTCTGATGTTTGCATTCAACTCACAGAGTTGAACCTTGCTTTCATAGTTCAGCTTTCAAACACTCTTTTTGTAGAATCTGCAAGTGGATATTTGGACCACTTTGTGGCCTTCCTTTGAAACGGGTACATCTTCACATCAAACCTAGACAGAAGCATTCTCAGAATGTTTCCTGTGATGACTGCATTCAACTCACGGAGGTGAACAATCCTGCTGATGGAGCAGTTTTGAAACTCTCTTTCTTTGGATTCTGCAAGTGGATATGTGGACCTCTGTGAAGATTTCGTTGGAAACGGGTTCATCTTCACAGAAAAACTAAACAGGAGCATTCTCAGAAACTGCTTTGTGATGTTTGTGTTCCACTTCAGGAATTGAACTTTCCTCTTGACAGAGCAGCTCTAAAACCCTCTTATTCTAGAATCTGCAAGTGGACATTTGGAGGGCTTTGAGGCCTGTGGTGGAAAAGGAAAATCTTCACATAAAAACTAGATGGAAGCATTCTCAGAAACTACTTTGTGATGATTGCATTCGACTCACAGAGTTGAACATTCCTATAGATAGAGCAGGTTGTAAACAATGTTTTTGTAGAATCTGCGATTGGAGATTTGGATTGCTTTGAGGCCTACTGTAGTAAAGGAAATAACTTCATCTAAAAACCAAACGGAAGCATTCACAGACAATTCTTAGTGATCATTGGATTGAACTAACAGAGCTGAACATTCCTTTAGATGGAGCAGTTTCCAAACCCACTTTCTGTAGAATCTGCAAGTGGATATTTGGACTTCTCTGAGGATTTCGTTGGAAACGGGATAAACTTCCCAGAACTACACGGAAGCATTGTGAGAAACTTCTTTGTGATGTTTGCATTCAACTCACAGAGTTGAACCTTGCTTTCATAGTTCAGCTTTCAAACACTCTTTTTGTAGAATCTGCAAGTGGATATTTGGACCACTTTGTGGCCTTCCTTTGAAAAGGGTATATCTTCACATCAAACCTAGACAGAAGCATTCTCAGAATGTTTCCTGTGATGACTGCATTCAACTCACAGAGGTGAACAATCCTGTTGATGGAGCACTTTTGAAACTCTCTTTCTTTGGATTCTGCAAGTTGATATGTGGACCTCTGTGAAGATTTCGTTGGAAACGGGTTCATCTTCACAGAAAAACTAAACAGAAGCATTCTCAGAAACTGCTTTGTGATGTTTGTGTTCCACTTCAAGAATTGAACTTTCCTCTTGACAGAGCAGCTCTGAAACCCTCTTTTTCTAGAATCTGCAAGTGGACATTTGGAGGGCTTTGAGGCCTGTGGTGGAAAAGGAAAATCTTCACATAAAAACTAGATGGAAGCATTCTCAGAAACTACTTTGTGATGATTGCATTCGACTCACAGAGTTGAACATTCCTATACATAGAGCAGGTTGTAAACAATCTTTTTGTAGAATCTGCGATTGGAGATTTGGACTGCTTTGAGGCCTACTGTAGTAAAGGAAATAACTTCATCTAAAAACCAAACGGAAGCATTCACAGACAATTCTTAGTGATCATTGCATTGAACTAACAGAGCTGAACATTCCTTTAGATGGAGCATTTTCCAAACACACTTTCTGTAGAATCTGCAAGTGGATATTTGGACTTCTCTGAGGATTTCGTTGGAAACGGGATAAACTTCCCAGAACTACACGGAAGCATTGTGAGAAACTTCTTTGTGATGTTTGCATTCAACTCACAGAGTTGAACCTTGCTTTCATAGTTCAGCTTTCAAACACTCTTTTTGTAGAATCTGCAAGTGGATATTTGGACCACTTTGTGGCCTTCCTTCGAAACGGGTATATCTTCACATCAAACCTAGACAGAAGCATTCTCAGAATGTTTCCTGTGATGACTGCATTCAACTCACAGAGGTGAACAATCCTGCTGATGGAGCAGTTTTGAAACTCTCTTTCTTTGGATTCTGCAAGTGGATATGTGGACCTCTGTGAAGATTTCGTTGGAAACGGGTTCATCTTCACAGAAAAACTAAACAGAAGCATTCTCAGAAACTGCTTTGTGATGTTTGTGTTCCACTTCAGGAATTGAACTTTCCTCTTGACAGAGCAGCTCTGAAACCCTCTTTATCTAGAATCTGCAAGTGGACATTTGGAGGGCTTTGAGGCCTCTGGTGGAAAAGGAAAATCTTCACATAAAAACTAGATGGAAGCATTCTCAGAAACTACTTTGTGATGATTGCATTCGACTCACAGAGTTGAACATTCCTATACATAGAGCAGGTTGTAAACAATCTTTTTGTAGAATCTGCGATTGGAGATTTGGACTGCTTTGAGGCCTACTGTAGTAAAGGAAATAACTTCATCTAAAAACCAAACGGAAGCATTCACAGACAATTCTTAGTGATCATTGGATTGAACTAACAGAGCTGAACATTCCTTTAGATGGAGCAGTTTCCAAACACACTTTCTGTAGAATCTGCAAGTGGATATTTGGACCTCTCTGAGGATTTCGTTGGAAACGGGATAAACTTCCCAGAACTACACGGAAGCATTGTGAGAAACTTCTTTGTGATGTTTGCATTCAACTCACAGAGTTGAACCTTGCTTTCATAGTTCAGCTTTCAAACACTCTTTTTGTAGAATCTGCAAGTGGATATTTGGACCACTTTGTGGCCTTCCTTCGAAACGGGTATATCTTCACATCAAACCTAGACAGAAGCATTCTCAGAATGTTTCCTGTGATGACTGCATTCAACTCACAGAGGTGAACAATCCTGCTGATGGAGCAGTTTTGAAACTCTCTTTCTTTGGATTCTGCAAGTGGATATGTGGACCTCTGTGAAGATTTCGTTGGAAACGGGTTCATCTTCACAGAAAAACTAAACAGAAGCATTCTCAGAAACTGCTTTGTGATGTTTGTGTTCCACTTCAGGAATTGAACTTTCCTCTTGACAGAGCAGCTCTGAAACCCTCTTATTCTAGAATCTGCAAGTGGACATTTGGAGGGCTTTGAGGCCTGTGGTGGAAAAGGAAAATCTTCACATAAAAACTAGATGGAAGCATTCTCAGAAACTACTTTGTGATGATTGCATTCGACTCACAGAGTTGAACATTCCTATAGATAGAGCAGGTTGTAAACAATCTTTTTGTAGAATCTGCGATTGGAGATTTGGACTGCTTTGAGGCCTACTGTAGTAAAGGAAATAACTTCATCTAAAAATCAAACGGAAGCATTCACAGACAATTCTTAGTGATCATTGGATTGAAGTAACAGAGCTGAACATTCCTTTAGATGGAGCAGTTTCCAAACCCACTTTCTGTAGAATCTGCAAGTGGATATTTGGACTTCTCTGAGGATTTCGTTGGAAACGGGATAAACTTCCCAGAACTACACGGAAGCATTGTGAGAAACTTCTTTGTGATGTTTGCATTCAACTCACAGAGTTGAACCTTGCTTTCATAGTTCAGCTTTCAAACACTCTTTTTGTAGAATCTGCAAGTGGATATTTGGACCACTTTGTGGCCTTCCTTCGAAACGGGTATATCTTCACATCAAACCTAGACAGAAGCATTCTCAGAATGTTTCCTGTGATGACTGCATTCAACTCACAGAGGTGAACAATCCTGCTGATGGAGCAGTTTTGAAACTCTCTTTCTTTGGATTCTGCAAGTGGATATGTGGACCTCTGTGTAGATTTCGTTGGAAACGGGTTCATCTTCACAGAAAAACTAAACAGGAGCATTCTCAGAAACTGCTTTGTGATGTTTGTGTTCCACTTCAGGAATTGAACTTTCCTCTTGACAGAGCAGCTCTGAAACCCTCTTCTTCTAGAATCTGCAAGTGCACATTTGGAGGGCTTTGATGCCTGTGGTGGAAAAGGAAAATCTTCACATAAAAACTAGATGGAAGCATTCTCAGAAACTACTTTGTGATGATTGCATTCGACTCACAGAGTTGAACATTCCTATAGATAGAGCAGGTTGTAAACAATCTTTTTGTAGAATCTGCGATTGGAGATTTGGACTGCTTTGAGGCCTACTGTAGTAAAGGAAATAACTTCATCTAAAAACCAAACGGAAGCATTCACAGACAATTCTTAGTGATCATTGGATTGAACTAACAGAGCTGAACATTCCTTTAGATGGAGCAGTTTCCAAACACACTTTCTGTAGAATCTGCAAGTGGATATTTGGACTTCTCTGAGGATTTCGTTGGAAACGGGAAAACTTCCCAGAACTACACGGAAGCATTCTGAGAAACTTCTTTGTGATGTTTGCATTCAACTCACAGAGTTGAACCTTGCTTTCATAGTTCAGCTTTCAAACACTCTTTTTGTAGAATCTGCAAGTGGATATTTGGACCACTTTGTGGCCTTCCTTCGAAACGGGTATATCTTCACATCAAACCTAGACAGAAGAATTCTCAGAATGTTTCCTGTGATGACTGCATTCAACTCACAGAGGTGAACAATCCTGTTGATGGAGCAGTTTTGAAACTCTCTTTCTTTGGATTCTGCAAGTGGATATGTGGACCTCTGTGAAGATTTGGTTGGAAACGGGTTCATCTTCCCAGAAAAACTAAAAAGAAACATTCTCAGAAACTGCTTTGTGAAGTTTGTGTTCCACTTCAGGAATTGAACTTTCCTCTTGACAGAGCAGCTCTGAAACCCTCTTATTCTAGAATCTGCAAGTGGACATTTGGAGGGCTTTGAGGCCTGTGGTGGAAAAGGAAAATCTTCACATAAAAACTAGATGGAAGCATTCTCAGAAACTACTTTGTGATGATTGCATTCGACTCACAGAGTTGAACATTCCTATAGATAGAGCAGGTTGTAAACAATCTTTTTGTAGAATCTGCGATTGGAGATTTGGACTGCTTTGAGGCCTACTGTAGTAAAGGAAATAACTTCATCTAAAAACCAAACGGAAGCATTCACAGACAATTCTTAGTGATCATTGCATTGAACTGACAGAGCTGAACATTCCTTTAGATGGAGCAGTTTCCAAACACACTTTCTGTAGAATCTGCAAGTGGATATTTGGACTTCTCTGAGGATTTCGTTGGAAACGGGATAAACTTCCCAGAACTACACGGAAGCATGCTGAGAAACTTCTTTGTGATGTTTGCATTCCACTCACAGGAGTTGAACCTTGCTTTCATAGTTCAGCTTTCAAACACTCTTTTTGTAGAATCTGCAAGTGGATATTTGGACCACTTTGTGGCCTTCCTTCGAAACGGGTATATCTTCACATCAAACCTAGACAGAAGCATTCTCAGAATGTTTCCTGTGATGACTGCATTCAACTCACAGAGGTGAACAATCCTGTTGATGAAGCACTTTTGAAACTCTCTTTCTTTGGATTCTGCAAGTTGATATGTGGACCTCTGTGAAGATTTCGTTGGAAACGGGTTCATCTTCACAGAAAAACTAAACAGAAGCATTCTCAGAAACTGCTTTGTGATGTTTGTGTTCCACTTCAAGAATTGAACTTTCCTCTTGACAGAGCAGCTCTGAAACCCTCTTTTTCTAGAATCTGCAAGTGGACATTTGGAGGGCTTTGAGGCCTGTGGTGGAAAAGGAAAATCTTCACATAAAAACTAGATGGAAGCATTCTCAGAAACTGCTTTGTGATGATTGTATTCGACTCACAGAGTTGAACATTCCTATAGATAGAGCAGGTTGTAAACAATCTTTTTGTAGAATCTGCGATTGGAGATTTGGACTGCTTTGAGGCCTACTGTAGTAAAGGAAATAACTTCATCTAAAAACCAAACGGAAGCATTCACAGACAATTCTTAGTGATCATTGCATTGAACTAACAGAGCTGAACATTCCTTTAGATGGAGCAGTTTCCAAACACACTTTCTGTAGAATCTGCAAGTGGATATTTAGACTTCTCTGAGGATTTCGTTGGAAACGGGATAAACTTCCCAGAACTACACGGAAGCATTCTGAGAAACTTCTTTGTGATGTTTGCATTCAACTCACAGAGATGATCCTTGCTTTCATAGTTCAGCTTTCAAACACTCTTTTTGTAGAATCTGCAAGTGGATATTTGGACCACTTTGTGTCCTTCCTTCGAAACGGGTATATCTTCACATCAAACTTAGACAGCAGCATTCTCAGAATGTTTCCTGTGATGACTGCATTCAACTCACAGAGGTGAACAATCCTGCTGATGGAGCAGTTTTGAAACTCTCTTTCTTTGGATTCTGCAAGTGGATATGTGGACCTCTGTGAAGATTTCGTTGGAAACGGGTTCATCTTCACAGAAAAACTAAACAGGAGCATTCTCAGAAACTGCTTTGTGATGTTTGTGTTCCACATCAAGAATTGAACTTTCCTCTTGACAGAGCAGCTCTGAAACCCTCTTTTTCTAGAATCTGCAAGTGGACATTTGGAGGGCTTTGAGGCCTGTGGTGCAAAAGGAAAATCTTCACATAAAAACTAGATGGAAGCATTCTCAGAAACTACTTTGTGATGATTGCATTCGACTCACAGAGTTGAACATTCCTATAGATAGAGCAGGTTGTAAACAATCTTTTTGTAGAATCTGCGATTGGAGATTTGGACTGCTTTGAGGCCTACTGTAGTAAAGGAAATAACTTCATCTAAAAACCAAACGGAAGCATTCACAGACAATTCTTAGTGATCATTGCATTGAACTAACAGAGCTGAACATTCCTTCAGATGGCGCAGTTTCCAAACACACTTTCTGTAGAATCAGCAAGTGGATATTTGGACTTCTCTGAGGATTTCGTTGGAAACGGGATATGCTTCCCAGAACTACAGGGAAGCATTCGGAGAAACTTCTTTGTGATGTTTGCATTCAACTCACAGAGTTGAACCTTGCTTTCATAGTTCAGCTTTCAAACACTCTTTTTGTAGAATCTGCAAGTGGATATTTGGACCACTTTGTGGCCTTCCTTCGAAACGGGTATATCTTCACATCAAACCTAGACAGAAGCATTCTCAGAATGTTTCCTGTGATGACTGCATTCAACTCACAGAGGTGAACAATCCTGCTGATGGAGCAGTTTTGAAACTCTCTTTCTTTGGATTCTGCAAGTGGATATGTGGACCTCTGTGAAGATTTCGTTGGAAACGGGTTCATCTTCACAGAAAACCTAAACAGGAGCATTCTCAGAAACTGCTTTGTGATGTTTGTGTTCCACTTCAGGAATTGAACTTTCCTCTTGACAGAGCAGCTCTGAAACCCTCTTTTTCTAGAATCTGCAAGTGGACATTTGGAGGGCTTTGAGGCCTGTGGTGGAAAAGGAAACTCTTCACATAAAAACTAGACGGAAGCATTCTCAGAAACTACTTTGTGATGATTGCATTCGACTCACAGAGTTGAACATTCCTATAGATAGAGCAGGTTGTAAACAATCTTTTTGTAGAATCTGCGATTGGAGATTTGGACTGCTTTGAGGCCTACTGTAGTAAAGGAAATAACTTCATCTAAAAACCAAACGGAAGCATTCACAGACAATTCTTAGTGATCATTGCATTGAACTAACAGAGCTGAACATTCCTTTAGATGGCGCAGTTTCCAAACACACTTTCTGTAGAATCTGCAAGTGGATATTTGGACTTCTCTGAGGATTTCGTTGGAAACGGGATAAACTTCCCAGAACTACACGGAAGCATTGTGAGAAACTTCTTTGTGATGTTTGCATTCAACTCACAGAGTTGAACCTTGCTTTCATAGTTCAGCTTTCAAACACTCTTTTTGTAGAATCTGCAAGTGGATATTTGGACCACTTTGTGGCCTTCCTTCGAAACGGGTATATCTTCACATCAAACCTAGACAGAAGCATTCTCAGAATGTTTCCTGTGATGACTGCATTCAACTCACAGAGGTGAACAATCCTGTTGATGGAGCAGTTTTGAAACTCTCTTTCTTTGGATTCTGCAAGTGGATATGTGGACCTCTGTGAAGATTTCGTTGGAAACGGGTTCATCTTCACAGAAAAACTAAACAGAAGCATTCTCAGAAACTGCTTTGTGATGTTTGTGTTCCACTTCAGGAATTGAACTTTCCTCTTGACAGAGCAGCTCTGAAACCCTCTTTTTCTAGAATCTGCAAGTAGACATTTGGAGGGCTTTGAGGCCTGTGGTGGAAAAGGAAAATCTTCACATAAAAACTAGATGGAAGCATTCTCAGAAACTACTTTGTGATGATTGCATTCGACTCACAGAGTTGAACATTCCTATAGATAGAGCAGGTTGTAAACAATCTTTTTGTAGAATCTGCGATTGGAGATTTGGACTGCTTTGAGGCCTACTTGTAGTAAAGGCAATAACTTCATCTAAAAACCAAACGGAAGGATTCACAGACAATTCTTAGTGATCATTGCATTGAACTAACAGAGCTGAACATTCCTTTAGATGGCGCAGTTTCCAAACACACTTTCTGTAGAATCTGCAAGTGGATATTTGGACCTCTCTGAGGATTTCGTTGGAAACGGGATAAACTTCCCAGAACTACACGGAAGCATTGTGAGAAACTTCTTTGTGATGTTTGCATTCAACTCACAGAGTTGAACCTTGCTTTCATAGTTCAGCTTTCAAACACTCTTTTTGTAGAATCTGCAAGTGGATATTTGGACCACTTTGTGGCCTTCCTTCGAAACGGGTATATCTTCACATCAAACCTAGACAGAAGCATTCTCAGAATGTTTCCTGTGATGACTGCATTCAACTCACAAAGGTGAACAATCCTGCTGATGGAGCAGTTTTGAAACTCTCTTTCTTTGGATTCTGCAAGTGGATATGTTGACCTCTGTGAAGATTTCGTTGGAAACGGGTTCATCTTCACAGAAAAACTAAACAGGAGCATTCTCAGAAACTGCTTTGTGATGTTTGTGTTCCACTTCAAGAATTGAACTTTCCTCTTGACAGAGCAGCTCTGAAACCCTCTTATTCTAGAATCTGCAAGTGGACATTTGGAGGGATTTGAGGCCTGTGGTGGAAAAGGAAAATCTTCACATAAAAACTAGATGGAAGCATTCTCAGAAACTACTTTGTGATGATGGCATTCGACTCACAGAGTTGAACATTCCTATAGATAGAGCAGGTTGTAAACAATCTTTTTGTAGAATCTGCGATTGGAGATTTGGACTGCTTTGAGGCCTACTGTAGTAAAGGAAATAACTTCATCTAAAAACCAAACGGAAGCATTTACAGACAATTCTTAGTGATCATTGGATTGAACTAACAGAGCTGAACATTCCTTTAGATGGAGCAGTTTCCAAACCCACTTTCTGTAGAATCTGCAAGTGGATATTTGGACTTCTCTGAGGATTTCGTTGGAAACGGGATAAACTTCCCAGAACTACAGGGAAGCATTCTGAGAATCTTCTTTGTGATGTTTGCATTCAACTCACAGAGTTGAACCTTGCTTTCATAGTTCAGCTTTCAAACACTCTTTTTGTAGAATCTGCAAGTGGATATTTGGACCACTTTGTGGCCTTCCTTCGAAACGGGTATATCTTCACATCAAACCTAGACAGAAGCATTCTCAGAATGTTTCCTGTGATGACTGCATTCAACTCACTGAGGTGAACAATCCTGTAGATGGAGCACTTTTGAAACTCTCTTTCTTTGGATTCTGCAAGTTGATATGTGGACCTCTGTGAAGATTTCGTTGGAAACGGTTTCATCTTCACAGAAAAACTAAACAGAAGCATTCTCAGAAACTACTTTGTGATGTTTGTGTTCCACTTCAAGAATTGAACTTTCCTCTTGACAGAGCAGCTCTGAAACCCTCTTTTTCTACAATCTGCAAGTGGACATTTGGAGGGCTTTGAGGCCTGTGGTGGAAAAGGAAAATCTTCACATAAAAACTAGATGGAAGCATTCTCAGAAACTACTTTGTGATGATTGCATTCGACTCACAGAGTTGAACATTCCTATAGATAGAGCAGGTTGTAAACAATCTTTTTGTAGAATCTGCGATTGGAGATTTGGACTGCTTTGAGGCCTACTGTAGTAAAGGAAATAACTTCATCTAAAAACCAAACGGAAGCATTCACAGACAATTCTTAGTGATCATTGCATTGAACTAACAGAGCTGAACATTCCTTTAGATGGCGCAGTTTCCAAACACACTTTCTTGTCAGAATCTGCAATTGGATATTTGGACCTCTCTGAGGATTTCGTTGGAAACGGGATAAACTTCCCAGAACTACACGGAAGCATTCTGAGAAACTTCTTTGTGATGTTTGCATTCAACTAACAGAGTTGAACCTTGCTTTCATAGTTCAGCTTTCAAACACTCTTTTTGTAGAATCTGCAAGTGGATATTTGGACCACTTTGTGGACTTCCTTCGAAACGGGTATATCTTCACATCAAACATAGACAGAAGCATTCTCAGAATGTTTCCTGTGATGACTGCATTCAACTCACAGAGGTGAACAATCCTGCTGTTGGAGCAGTTTTGAAACTCTCTTTCTTTGGATTCTGCAAGTGGATATGTGGACCTCTGTGAAGATTTCGTTGGAAACGGGTTCATCTTCACAGAAAAACTAAACAGGAGCATTCTCAGAAACTGCTTTGTGATGTTTGTGTTCCACTTCAAGAATTGAACTTTCCTCTTGACAGAGCAGCTCTGAAACCCTCTTTTTCTAGAATCTGCAAGTGGACATTTGGAGGGCTTTGAGGCCTGTGGTGGAAAAGGAAAATCTTCACATAAAAACTAGATGGAAGCATTCTCAGAAACTACTTTGTGATGATTGCATTCGACTCACAGAGTTGAACATTCCTATAGATAGAGCAGGTTGTAAACAATCTTTTTGTAGAATCTGCGATTGGAGATTTGGACTGCTTTGAGGCCTACTGTAGTAAAGGAAATAACTTCATCTAAAAACCAAACGGAAGCATTCACAGACAATTCTTAGTGATCATTGCATTGATCTAACAGAGCTGAACATTCCTTTAGATGGCGTAGTTTCCAAACACACTTTCTGTAGAATCTGCAAGTGGATATTTGGACCTCTCTGAGGATTTCGTTGGAAACGTTATAAACTTCCCAGAACTACACAGAAGCATTCTGAGAAACTTCTTTGTGATGTTTGCATTCAACTCACAGAGTTGAACCTTGCTTTCATAGTTCAGCTTTCAAACACTCTTTTTGTAGAATCTGCAAGTGGATATTTGGACCACTTTGTGGCCTTCCTTCGAAACGGGTATATCTTCACATCAAACCTAGACAGAAGCATTCTCAGAATGTTTCCTGTGATGACTGCATTCAACTCACAGAGGTGAACAATCCTGCTGATGGAGCAGTTTTGAAACTCTCTTTCTTTGGATTCTGCAAGTGGATATGTGGACCTCTGTGAAGATTTCGTTGGAAACGGGTTCATCTTCACAGAAAAACTAAACAGAAGCATTCTCAGAAACTGCTTTGTGATGTTTGTGTTCCACTTCAAGAATTGAAATTTCCTCTTGACAGAGCAGCTCTGAAACCCTCTTTTTCTAGAATCTGCAAGTGGACATTTGGAGGGATTTGAGGCCTGTGGTGGAAAAGGAAAAATCTTCACATAAAAACTAGATGGAAGCATTCTCAGAAACTACTTTGTGATGATTGCATTCGACTCACAGAGTTGAACATTCCTATAGATAGAGCAGGTTGTAAACAATCTTTTTGTAGAATCTGCGATTGGAGATTTGGACTGCTTTGAGGCCTACTGTAGTAAAGGAAATAACTTCATCTAAAAACCAAACGGAAGCATTCACAGACAATTCTTAGTGATCATTGCATTGAACTAACAGAGCTGAACATTGCTTTAGATGGCGCAGTTTCCAAACCCACTTTCTGTAGAATCTGCAAGTGGATATTTGGACCTCTCTGAGGATTTCGTTGGAAACGGGATAAACTTCCCAGAACTACACGGAAGCATGCTGAGAAACTTATTTGTGATGTTTGCATTCAACTCACAGAGTTGAACCTTGCTTTCATAGTTCAGCTTTCAAACACTCTTTTTGTAGAATCTGCAAGTGGATATTTGGACAACTTTGTGGCCTTCCTTCGAAACGGGTATATCTTCACATCAAACCTAGACAGAAGCATTCTCAGAATGTTTCCTGTGATGACTGCATTCAACTCACAGAGGTGAACAATCCTGTTGATGGAGCAGTTTTGAAACTCTCTTTCTTTGGATTCTGCAAGTTGATATGTGGACCACTGTGAAGATTTCGTTGGAAACGGGTTCATCTTCACAGAAAAACTAAACAGAAGCATTCTCAGAAACTGCTTTGTGATGTTTGTGTTCGACTTCAGGAATTGAACTTTCCTCTTGACAGAGCAGCTCTGAAACCCTCTTATTCTAGAATCTGCAAGTGGACATTTGGAGGGCTTTGAGGCCTGTGGTGGAAAAGGAAAATCTTCACATAAAAACTAGATGGAAGCATTCTCAGAAACTACTTTGTGATGATTGCATTCGACTCACAGAGTTGAACATTCCTATACATAGAGCAGGTTGTAAACAATCTTTTTGTAGAATCTGCGATTGGAGATTTGGACTGCTTTGAGGCCTACTGTAGTAAAGGAAATAACTTCATCTAAAAACCAAACGGAAGCATTCACAGACAATTCTTACTGATCATTGGATTGAACTAACAGAGCTGAACATTCCTTTAGATGGAGCAGTTTCCAAACACACTTTCTGTAGAATCTGCAAGTGGATATTTGGACTTCTCTGAGGATTTCGTTGGAAACGGGATAAACTTCCCAGAACTACACGGAAGCATTCTGAGAAACTTCTTTGTGATGTTTGCATTCAACTCACAGAGTTGATACCTTGCTTTCATAGTTCAGCTTTCAAACACTCTTTTTGTAGAATCTGCAAGTGGATATTTGGACCACTTTGTGGCCTTCCTTCTAAACGGGTATATCTTCACATCAAACCTAGACAGAAGCATTCTCAGAATGTTTCCTGTGATGACTGCATTCAACTCACAGAGGTGAACAATCCTGTTGATGGAGCAGTTTTGAAACTCTCTTTCTTTGGATTCTGCAAGTGGATATGTGGACCTCTGTGAAGATTTCGTTGGAAACGGGTTCATCTTCACAGAAAAACTAAACAGAAGCATTCTCAGAAACTGCTTTGTGATGTTTGTGTTCCACTTCAAGAATTGAACTTTCCTCTTGACAGAGCAGCTCTGAAACCCTCTTTTTCTAGAATCTGCAAGTGGACATTTGGAGGGCTTTGAGGCCTGTGGTGGAAAAGGAAAATCTTCCCATAAAAACTAGATGGAAGCATTCTCAGAAACTACTTTGTGATGATTGCATTCGACTCACAGAGTTGAACATTCCTATAGATAGAGCAGGTTGTAAACAATCTTTTTGTAGAATCTGCGATTGGAGATTTGGACTGCTTTGAGGCCTACTGTAGTAAAGGAAATAACTTCATCTAAAAACCAAACGGAAGCATTCACAGACAATTCTTAGTGATCATTGGATTGAACTAACAGAGCTGAACATTCCTTTAGATGGAGCAGTTTCCAAACACACTTTCTGTAGAATCTGCAAGTGGATATTTGGACTTCTCTGAGGATTTCGTTGGAAACGGGATAAACTTCCCAGAACTACACGGAAGCATTGTGAGAAACTTCTTTGTGATGTTTGCATTCAACTCACAGAGTTGAACCTTGCTTTCATAGTTCAGCTTTCAAACACTCTTTTTGTGGAATCTGCAAGTGGATATTTGGACCACTTTGTGGCCTTCCTTCGAAACGGGTATATCTTCACATCAAACCTAGACAGAAGCATTCTCAGAATGTTTCCTGTGATGACTGCATTCAACTCACAGAGGTGAACAATCCTGCTGATGGAGCAGTTTTGAAACTCTCTTTCTTTGGATTCTGCAAGTGGATATGTGGACCTCTGTGAAGATTTCGTTGGAAACGGGTTCATCTTCACAGAAAAACTAAACAGGAGCATTCTCAGAAACTGCTTTGTGATGTTTGTGTTCCACTTCAAGAATTGAACTTTCCTCTTGACAGAGCAGCTCTGAAACCCTCTTTTTCTAGAATCTGCAAGTGGACATTTGGAGGGCTTTGAGGCCTGTGGTGGAAAAGGAAAATCTTCCCATAAAAACTAGATGGAAGCATTCTCAGAAACTACTTTGTGATGATTGCATTCGACTCACAGAGTTGAACATTCCTATAGATAGAGCAGGTTGTAAACAATCTTTTTGTAGAATCTGCGATTGGAGATTTGGACTGCTTTGAGGCCTACTGTAGTAAAGGAAATAACTTCATCTAAAAACCAAACGGAAGCATTCACAGACAATTCTTAGTGATCATTGCATTGAACTAACAGAGCTGAACATTCCTTTAGATGGCGCAGTTTCCAAACACACTTTCTGTAGAATCTGCAAGTGGATATTTGGACCTCTCTGAGGATTTCGTTGGAAACGGGATAAACTTCCCAGAACTACACGGAAGCATTCTGAGAAACTTCTTTGTGATGTTTGCATTCAACTCACAGAGTTGAACCTTGCTTTCATAGTTCAGCTTTCAAACACTCTTTTTGTAGAATCTGCAAGTGGATATTTGGACCACTTTGTGGCCTTCCTTCGAAACGGGTATATCTTCACATCAAACCTAGACAGAAGCATTCTCAGAATGTTTCCTGTGATGACTGCATTCAACTCACAGAGGTGAACAATCCTGCTGATGGAGCAGTTTTGAAACTCTCTTTCTTTGGATTCTGCAAGTGGATATGTGGACCTCTGTGAAGATTTCGTTGGAAACGGGTTCATCTTCACAGAAAAACTAAACAGGAGCATTCTCAGAAACTGCTTTGTGATGTTTGTGTTCCACTTCAAGAATTGAACTTTCCTCTTGACAGAGCAGCTCTGAAACCCTCTTTTTCTAGAATCTGCAAGTGGACATTTGGAGGGCTTTGAGGCCTGTGGTGGTAAAGGAAAATCTTCACATAAAAACTTTATGGAAGCATTCTCAGAAACTTCTTTGTGATGATTGCATTCGACTCACAGAGTTGAACATTCCTATAGATAGAGCAGGTTGTAAACAATCTTTTTGTAGAATCTGCGATTGGAGATTTGGACTGCTTTGAGGCCTACTGTAGTAAAGGAAATTACTTCATCTAAAAACCAAACGGAAGCATTCACAGACAATTCTTAGTGATCATTGGATTGAACTAACAGAGCTGAACATTCCTTTAGATGGAGCAGTTTCAAAACACACTTTCTGTAGAATCTGCAAGTGGATATTTGGACCTCTCTGAGGATTTCGTTGGAAACGGGATAAACTTCCCAGAACTACACGGAAGCATTGTGAGAAACTTCTTTGTGATGTTTGCATTCAACTCACAGAGTTGAACCTTGCTTTCATAGTTCAGCTTTCAAACACTCTTTTTGTAGAATCTGCAAGTGGATATTTGGACCACTTTGTGGCCTTCCTTCGAAACGGGTATATCTTCACATCAAACCTAGACAGAAGCATTCTCAGAATGTTTCCTGTGATGACTGCATTCAACTCACAGAGGTGAACAATCCTGCTGATGGAGCAGTTTTGAAACTCTCTTTCTTTGGATTCTGCAAGTGGATATGTTGAACTCTGTGAAGATTTCGTTGGAAACGGGTTCATTTTCACAGAAAAACTAAACAGGAGCATTCTCAGAAACTGCTTTGTGATGTTTGTGTTCCACTTCAAGAATTGAACTTTCCTCTTGACAGAGCAGCTCTGAAACCCTCTTTTTCTAGAATCTGCAAGTGGACATTTGGAGGGCTTTGAGGCCTGTGGTGGAAAAGGAAAATCTTCACATAAAAACTAGATGGAAGCATTCTCAGAAACTACTTTGTGATGATTGCATTCGACTCACAGAGTTGAACATTCCTATAGATAGAGCAGGTTGTAAACAATCTTTTTGTAGAATCTGCGATTGGAGATTTGGACTGCTTTGAGGCCTACTGTAGTAAAGGAAATAACTTCATCTAAAAACCAAACGGAAGCATTCACAGACAATTCTTAGTGATCATTGCATTGAACTAACAGAGCTGAACATTCCTTTACATGGAGCAGTTTCCAAACACACTTTCTGTAGAATCTGCAAGTGGATATTTGGACTTCTCTGAGGATTTCGTTGGAAACGGGATAAACTTCCCAGAACTACACGGAAGCATTCTGAGAAACTTCTTTGTGATGTTTGCATTCAACTCACAGAGTTGAACCTTGCTTTCATAGTTCAGCTTTCAAACACTCTTTTTGTAGAATCTGCAAGTGGATATTTGGACCACTTTGTGGCCTTCCTTCGAAACGGGTATATCTTCACATCAAACCTAGACAGAAGCATTCTCAGAATGTTTCCTGTGATGACTGCATTCAACTCACAGAGGTGAACAATCCTGTTGATGGAGCAGTTTTGAAACTCCCTTTCTTTGGATTCTGCAAGTGGATATGTGGAACTCTTTGAAGATTTCGTTGGAAACGGGTTCATCTTCACAGAAAAACTAAACAGGAGCATTCTCAGAAACTGCTTTGTGATGTTTGTGTTCCACTTCAGGAATTGAACTTTCCTCTTGACAGAGCAGCTCTGAAATCCTCTTATTCTAGAATCTGCAAGTGGACATTTGGAGGGCTTTGAGGCCTGTGGTGGAAAAGGAAAATCTTCACATAAAAACTAGATGGAAGCATTCTCAGAAACTACTTTGTGATGATTGCATTCGACTCACAGAGTTGAACATTCCTATAGATAGAGCAGGTTGTAAACAATCTTTTTGTAGAATCTGCGATTGGAGATTTGGACTGCTTTGAGGCCTACTGTAGTAAAGGAAATAACTTCATCTAAAAACCAAACGGAAGCATTCACAGACAATTCTTAGTGATCATTGGATTGAACTAACAGAGCTGAACATTCCTTTAGATGGAGCAGTTTCCAAACACACTTTCTGTAGAATCTGCAAGTGGATATTTGGACCTCTCTGAGGATTTCGTTGGAAACGGGCTAAATTTCCCAGAACTACACGGAAGCATTCTGAGAAACTTCTTTGTGATGTTTGCATTCAACTCACAGAGTTGAACCTTGCTTTCATAGTTCAGCTTTCAAACACTCTTTTTGTAGAATCTGCAAGTGGATATTTGGACCACTTTGTGGCCTTCCTTCGAAACGGGTATATCTTCACATCAAACCTAGACAGAAGCATTCTCAGAATGTTTCCTGTGATGACTGCATTCAACTCACAGAGGTGAACAATCCTGCTGATGGAGCAGTTTTGAAACTCTCTTTCTTTGGATTCTGCAAGTGGATATGTGGACCTCTGTGAAGATTTCGTTGGAAACGGGTTCATCTTCACAGAAAAATTAAACAGAAGCATTCTCAGAAACTGCTTTGTGATGTTTGTGTTCCACTTCAAGAATAGAACTTTTCTCTTGACAGAGCAGCTCTGAAACCCTCTTTTTCTAGAATCTGCAAGTGGACATTTGGAGGGCTTTGAGGACTGTGGTGGAAAACGAAAATCTTCACATAAAAACTAGATGGAAGCATTCTCAGAAACTACTTTGTGATGATTGCATTCGACTCACAGAGTTGAACATTCCTATAGATAGAGCAGGTTGTAAACAATGTTTTTGTAGAATCTGCGATTGGAGATTTGGACTGCTTTGAGGCCTACTGTAGTAAAGGAAATAACTTCATCTAAAAACCAAACGGAAGCATTCACAGACAATTCTTAGTGATCATTGCATTGAACTAACAGAGCTGAACATTCCTTTAGATGGCGCAGTTTCCAAACACACTTTCTGTAGAATCTGCAAGTGGATATTTGGACCTCTCTGAGGATTTCGTTGGAAACGGGATAAACTTCCCAGAACTACACGGAAGCATTGTGAGAAACTTCTTTGTGATGTTTGCATTCAACTCACAGAGTTGAACCTTGCTTTCATAGTTCAGCTTTCAAACACTCTTTTTGTGGAATCTGCAAGTGGATATTTGGACCACTTTGTGGCCTTCCTTCGAAACGGGTATATCTTCACATCAAACCTAGACAGAAGCATTCTCAGAATGTTTCCTGTGATGACTGCATTCAACTCACAGAGGTGAACAATCCTGCTGATGGAGCAGTTTTGAAACTCTCTTTCTTTGGATTCTGCAAGTGGATATGTGGACCTCTGTGAAGATTTCGTTGGAAACGGGTTCATCTTCACAGAAAAACTAAACAGGAGCATTCTCAGAAACTGCTTTGTGATGTTTGTGTTCCACTTCAAGAATTGAACTTTCCTCTTGACAGAGCAGCTCTGAAACCCTCTTTTTCTAGAATCTGCAAGTGGACATTTGGAGGGCTTTGAGGCCTGTGGTGGAAAAGGAAAATCTTCACATAAATACTAGATGGAAGCATTCTCAGAAACTACTTTGTGATGATTGCATTCGACTCACAGAGTTGAACATTCCTATAGATAGAGCAGGTTGTAAACAATGTTTTTGTAGAATCTGCGATTGGAGATTTGGATTGCTTTGAGGCCTACTGTAGTAAAGGAAATAACTTCATCTAAAAACCAAACGGAAGCATTCACAGACAATTCTTAGTGATCATTGGATTGAACTAACAGAGCTGAACATTCCTTTAGATGGAGCAGTTGCCAAACCCACTTTCTGTAGAATCTGCAAGTGGATATTTGGACTTCTCTGAGGATTTCGTTGGAAACGGGATAAACTTCCCAGAACTACACGGAAGCATTGTGAGAAACTTCTTTGTGATGTTTGCATTCAACTCACAGAGTTGAACCTTGCTTTCATAGTTCAGCTTTCAAACACTCTTTTTGTAGAATCTGCAAGTGGATATTTGGACCACTTTGTGGCCTTCCTTTGAAAAGGGTATATCTTCACATCAAACCTAGACAGAAGCATTCTCAGAATGTTTCCTGTGATGACTGCATTCAACTCACAGAGGTGAACAATCCTGCTGATGGAGCAGTTTTGAAACTCTCTTTCTTTGGATTCTGCAAGTGGATATGTGGACCTCTGTGAAGATTTCGTTGGAAACGGGTTCATCTTCACAGAAAAACTAAACAGAAGCATTCTCAGAAACTGCATTGTCATGTTTGTGTTCCACTTCAAGAATTGAACTTTCCTCTTGACAGAGCAGCTCTGAAACCCTCTTTTTCTAGAATGTGCAAGTGGACATTTGGAGGGCTTTGAGGCCTGTGGTGGAAAAGGAAAATCTTCACATAAAAACTTTATAGAAGCATTCTCAGAAACTACTTTGTGATGATTGCATTCGACTCACAGAGTTGAACATTCCTATAGATAGAGCAGGTTGTAAACAATCTTTTTGTAGAATCTGCGATTGGAGATTTGGACTGCTTTGAGGCCTACTGTAGTAAAGGAAATAACTTCATCTAAAAACCAAACGGAAGCATTCACAGACAATTCTTAGTGATCATTGCATTGAACTAACAGAGCTGAACATTCCTTTAGATGGAGCAGTTTCCAAACCCACTTTCTGTAGAATCTGCAAGTGGATATTTGGACTTCTCTGAGGATTTCGTTGGAAACGGGATAAACTTCCCAGAACTACACGGAAGCATTGTGAGAAACTTCTTTGTGATGTTTGCATTCAACTCACAGAGTTGAACCTTGCTTTCATAGTTCAGCTTTCAAACACTCTTTTTGTAGAATCTGCAAGTGGATATTTGGACCACTTTGTGGCCTTCCTTCGAAACGGGTATATCTTCACATCAAACCTAGACAGAAGCATTCTCAGAATGTTTCCTGTGATGACTGCATTCAACTCACAGAGGTGAACAATCCTGCTGATGGAGCAGTTTTGAAACTCTCTTTCTTTGGATTCTGCAAGTGGATATGTGGACCTCTGTGAAGATTTCGGTGGAAACGGGTTCATCCTCACAGAAAAACTAAACTGGAGCATTCTCAGAAACTGCTTTGTGATGTTTGTGTTCCACTTCAAGAATTGAACTTTCCTCTTGACAGAGCAGCTCTGAAACCCTCTTTTTCTAGAATCTGCAAGTGGACATTTGGAGGGCTTTGAGGCCTGTGGTGGAAAAGGAAAATCTTCCCATAAAAACTAGATGGAAGCATTCTCAGAAACTACTTTGTGATGATTGCATTCGACTCACAGAGTTGAACATTCCTATAGATAGAGCAGGTTGTAAACAATCTTTTTGTAGAATCTGCGATTGGAGATTTGGACTGCTTTGAGGCCTACTGTAGTAAAGGAAATAACTTCATCTAAAAACCAAACGGAAGCATTCACAGACAATTCTTAGTGATCATTGGATTGAACTAACAGAGCTGAACATTCCTTTAGATGGAGCAGTTTCCAAACACACTTTCTGCAGAATCTGCAAGTGGATATTTGGACTTCTCTGAGGATTTCGTTGGAAATGGGATAAACTTCCCAGAACTACACGGAAGCATTGTGAGAATCATCTTTCTGATGTTTGCATTCAACTCACAGAGTTGAACCTTGCTTTCATAGTTCAGCTTTCAAACACTCTTTTTGTAGAATCTGCAAGTGGATATTTGGACCACTTTGTGGCCTTCCTTTGAAACGGGTACATCTTCACATCAAACCTAGACAGAAGCATTCTCAGAATGTTTCCTGTGATGACTGCATTCAACTCACAGAGGTGAACAATCCTGCTGATGGAGCAGTTTTGAAACTCTCTTTCTTTGGATTCTGCAAGTGGATATGTGGACCTCTGTGAAGATTTCGTTGGAAACGGGTTCATCTTCACAGAAAAACTAAACAGGAGCATTCTCAGAAACTGCTTTGTGATGTTTGTGTTCCACATCAAGAATTGAACTTTCCTCTTGACAGAGCAGCTCTGAAACCCTCTTTTTCTAGAATCTGCAAGTGGACATTTGGAGGGCTTTGAGGCCTGTGGTGCAAAAGGAAAATCTTCACATAAAAACTAGATGGAAGCATTCTCAGAAACTACTTTGTGATGATTGCATTCGACTCACAGAGTTGAACATTCCTATAGATAGAGCAGGTTGTAAACAATCTTTTTGTAGAATCTGCGATTGGAGATTTGGACTGCTTTGAGGCCTACTGTAGTAAAGGAAATAACTTCATCTAAAAACCAAACGGAAGCATTCACAGACAATTCTTAGTGATCATTGCATTGAACTAACAGAGCTGAACATTCCTTTAGATGGAGCAGTTTCCAAACACACTTTCTGTAGAATCTGCAAGTGGATATTTGGACCTCTCTGAGGATTTCGTTGGAAACGGGATAAACTTCCCAGAACTACACGGAAGCATTCTGAGAAACTTCTTTGGATGTTTGCATTCAACTCACAGAGTTGAACCTTGCTTTCATAGTTCAGCTTTCAAACACTCTTTTTGGAGAATCTGCAAGTGGATATTTGGACCACTTTGTGGCCTTCCTTCGAAACGGGTATATCTTCACATCAAACCTAGACAGAAGCATTCTCAGAATGTTTCCTGTGATGACTGCATTCAACTCACAGAGGTGAACAATCCTGTTGATGGAGCAGTTTTGAAACTCTCTTTCTTTGGATTCTGCAAGTTGATATGTGGACCTCTGTGAAGATTTCGTTGGAAACGGGTTCATCTTCACAGAAAAACTAAACAGAAGCATTCTCAGAAACTGCTTTGTGATGTTTGTGTTCCACTTCAGGAATTGAACTTTCCTCTTGACAGAGCAGCTCTGAAACCCTCTTATTCTAGAATCTGCAAGTGGACATTTGGAGGGCTTTGAGGCCTGTGGTGGAAAAGGAAAATCTTCACATAAAAACTAGATGGAAGCATTCTCAGAAACTACTTTGTGATGATTGCATTCGACTCACAGAGTTGAACATTCCTATAGATAGAGCAGGTTGTAAACAATCTTTTTGTAGAATCTGCGATTGGAGATTTGGACTGCTTTGAGGCCTACTGTAGTAAAGGAAATAACTTCATCTAAAAACCAAACGGAAGCATTCACAGACAATTCTTAGTGATCATTGCATTGAACTAACAGAGCTGAACATTCCTTTAGATGGTGCAGTTTCCAAACACACTTTCTGTAGAATCTGCAAGTGGATATTTGGACCTCTCTGAGGATTTCGTTGGAAACGGGATAAACTTCCCAGAACTACACGGAAGCATTCTGAGAAACTTCTTTGTGATGTTTGCATTCAACTCACAGAGTTGAACCTTGCTTTCATAGTTCAGCTTTCAAACACTCTTTTTGTAGAATCTGCAAGTGGATATTTGGACCACTTTGTCGCCTTCCTTCGAAACGGGTATATCTTCACATCAAACCTAGACAGAAGCATTCTCAGAATGTTTCCTGTGATGACTGCATTCAACTCACCGAGGTGAACAATCCTGCTGATGGAGCAGTTTTGAAACTCTCTTTCTTTGGATTCTGCAAGTGGATATGTGGACCTCTGTGAAGATTTCGTTGGAAACGGGTTCATCTTCACAGAAAAACTAAACAGAAGCATTCTCAGAAACTGCTTTGTGATGTTTGTGTTCCACATCAAGAATTGAACTTTCCTCTTGACAGAGCAGCTCTGATACCCTCTTTTTCTAGAATCTGCAAGTGGACATTTGGAGGGCTTTGAGGCCTGTGGTGCAAAAGGAAAATCTTCACATAAAAACTAGATGGAAGCATTCTCAGAAACTACTTTGTGATGATTGCATTCGACTCACAGAGTTGAACATTCCTATAGATAGAGCAGGTTGTAAACAATCTTTTTGTAGAATCTGCGATTGGAGATTTGGACTGCTTTGAGGCCTACTGTAGTAAAGGAAATAACTTCATCTAAAAACCAAACGGAAGCATTCACAGACAATTCTTAGTGATCATTGCATTGATCTAACAGAGCTGAACATTCCTTTAGATGGCGTAGTTTCCAAACACACTTTCTGTAGAATCTGCAAGTGGATATTTGGACCTCTCTGAGGATTTCGTTGGAAACGGGATAAACTTCCCAGAACTACACGGAAGCATTCTGAGAAACTTCTTTGTGATGTTTGCATTCAACTCACAGAGTTGAACCTTGCTTTCATAGTTCAGCTTTCAAACACTCTTTTTGTAGAATCTGCAAGTGGATATTTGGACCACTTTGTGGCCTTCCTTCGAAACGGGTATATCTTCACATCAAACCTAGACAGAAGCATTCTCAGAATGTTTCCTGTGATGACTGCATTCAACACACAGAGGTGAACAATCCTGTTGATGGAGCCGTTTTGAAACTCCCTTTCTTTGGATTCTGCAAGTGGATATGTGGAACTCTGTGAAGATTTCGTTGGAAACGGGTTGATCTTCACAGAAAAACTAAACAGGAGCATTCTCAGAAACTGCTTTGTGATGTTTGTGTTCCACTTCAGGAATTGAACTTTCCTCTTGACAGAGCAGCTCTGAAACCCTCTTTTTCTAGAATCTGCAAGTGGACATTTGGAGGGCTTTGAGGCCTGTGGTGAAAAAAGAAAATCTTCCCATAAAAACTAGATGGAAGCATTCTCAGAAACTACTTTGTGATGATTGCATTCGACTCACAGAGTTGAACATTCCTATAGATAGAGCAGGTTGTAAACAATCTTTTTGTAGAATCTGCGATTGGAGATTTGGACTGCTTTGAGGCCTACTGTAGTAAAGGAAATAACTTCATCTAAAAACCAAACGGAAGCATTCACAGACAATTCTTAGTGATCATTGGATTGAACTAACAGAGCTGAACATTCCTTTAGATGGAGCAGTTTCCAAACACACTTTCTGTAGAATATGCAAGTGGATATTTGGACTTCTCTGAGGATTTCGTTGGAATCGGGATAAACTTCCCAGAACTACACGGAAGCATGCTGAGAAACTTCTTTGTGATGTTTGCATTCAACTCACAGAGTTGAAACTTGCTTTCATAGTTCAGCTTTCAAACACTCTTTTTGTAGAATCTGCAAGTGGATATTTGGACCACTTTGTGGCCTTCCTTCGAAACGGGTATATCTTCACATCAAACCTAGACAGAAGCATTCTCAGAATGTTTCCTGTGATGACTGCATTCAACTCACAGAGGTGAACAATCCTGCTGATGGAGCAGTTTTGAAACTCTCTTTCTTTGGATTCTGCAAGTGGATATGTGGACCTCTGTGAAGATTTCGTTGGAAACGGGTTCATCTTCACAGAAAAACTAAACAGGAGCATTCTCAGAAACTGCTTTGTGATGTTTGTGTTCCACTTCAGGAATTGAACTTTCCTCTTGACAGAGCAGCTCTGAAACCCTCTTTTTCTAGAATCTGCAAGTGGACATTTGGAGGGCTTTGAGGCCTGTGGTGGAAAAGGAAACTCTTCACATAAAAACTAGATGGAAGCATTCTCAGAAACTACTTTGTGATGATTGCATTCGACTCACAGAGTTGAACATTCCTATAGATAGAGCAGGTTGTAAACAATCTTTTTGTAGAATCTGCGATTGGAGATTTGGACTGCTTTGAGGCCTACTGTAGTAAAGGAAATAACTTCATCTAAAAACCAAACGGAAGCATTCACAGACAATTCTTAGTGATCATTGCATTGAACTAACAGAGCTGAACATTCATTTAGATGGAGCAGTTTCCAAACACACTTTCTGTAGAATCTGCAAGTGGATATTTGGACTTCTCTGAGGATTTCGTTGGAAAGGGGATAAACTTCCCAGAACTACACGGAAGCATTGTGAGAAACTTCTTTGTGATGTTTGCATTCAACTCACAGAGTTGAACCTTGCTTTCATAGTTCAGCTTTCAAACACTCTTTTTGTAGAATCTGCAAGTGGATATTTGGACCACTTTGTGGCCTTCCTTTGAAACGGGTATATCTTCACATCAAACCTAGACAGAAGCATTCGCAGAATGTTTCCTGTGATGACTGCATTCAACTCACAGAGGTGAACAATCCTGCTGATGGAGCAGTTTTGAAACTCTCTTTCTTTGGATTCTGCAAGTGGATATGTGGACCTCTGTGAAGATTTCGTTGGAAACGGGTTCATCTTCACAGAAAAACTAAACAGGAGCATTCTCAGAAACTGCTTTGTGATGTTTGTGTTCCACTTCAAGAATTGAACTTTCCTCTCGACAGAGCAGCTCTGAAACCCTCTTTTTCTAGAATCTGCAAGTGGACATTTGGAGGGCTTTGAGGCCTGTGGTGGAAAAGGAAAATCTTCACATAAAAACTAGATGGAAGCATTCTCAGAAACTACTTTGTGATGATTGCATTCGACTCACAGAGTTGAACATTCCTATAGATAGAGCAGGTTGTAAACAATCTTTTTGTAGAATCTGCGATTGGAGATTTGGACTGCTTTGAGGCCTACTGTAGTAAAGGAAATAACTTCATCTAAAAACCAAACGGAAGCATTCACAGACAATTCTTAGTGATCATTGCATTGAACTAACACAGCTGAACATTCCTTTAGATGGAGCAGTTTCCAAACACACTTTCTGTAGAATCTGCAAGTGGATATTTGGACTTCTCTGAGGATTTCGTTGGAAACGGGATAAACTTCCCAGAACTACAGGGAAGCATTGTGAGAAACTTCTTTGTGATGTTTGCATTCAACTCACAGAGTTGAACCTTGCTTTCATAGTTCAGCTTTCAAACACTCTTTTTGTAGAATCTGCAAGTGGATATTTGGACCACTTTGTGGCCTTCCTTCGAAACGGGTATATCTTCACATCAAACCTAGACAGAAGCATTCTCAGAATGTTTCCTGTGATGACTGCATTCAACTCACAGAGGTGAACAATCCTGTTGATGGAGCACTTTTGAAACTCTCTTTCTTTGGATTCTGCAAGTTGATATGTGGACCTCTGTGAAGATTTCGTTGGAAACGGGTTCATCTTCACAGAAAAACTATACAGAAGCATTCTCAGAAACTACTTTGTGATGTTTGTGTTCCACTTCAAGAATTGAACTTTCCTCTTGACAGAGCAGCTCTGAAACCCTCTTTTTCTAGAATCTGCAAGTGGACATTTGGAGGGCTTTGAGGCCTGTGGTGGAAAAGGAAAATCTTCACATAAAAACTAGATGGAAGCATTCTCAGAAACTACTTTGTGATGATTGCATTCGACTCACAGAGTTGAACATTCCTATAGATAGAGCAGGTTGTAAACAATCTTTTTGTAGAATCTGCGATTGGAGATTTGGACTGCTTTGAGGCCTACTGTAGTAAAGGAAATAACTTCATCTAAAAACCAAACGGAAGCATTCACAGACAATTCTTAGTGATCATTGCATTGAACTAACAGAGCTGAACATTCCTTTAGATGGAGCAGTTTCCAAACACACTTTCTGTAGAATGTGCAAGTGGATATTTGGACTTCTCTGAGGATTTCGTTGGAAACGGGATAAACTTCCCAGAACTACACGGAAGCATTCTGAGAAACTTCTTTGTGATGTTTGCATTCAACTCACAGAGTTGAACCTTGCTTTCATAGTTCAGCTTTCAAACACTCTTTTTGTGGAATCTGCAAGTGGATATTTGGACCACTTTGTGGCCTTCCTTCGAAACGGGTATATCTTCACATCAAACCTAGACAGAAGCATTCTCAGAATGTTTCCTGTGATGACTGCATTCAACTCACAGAGGTGAACAATCCTGCTGATGGAGCAGTTTTGAAACTCTCTTTCTTTGGATTCTGCAAGTGGATATGTGGACCTCTGTGAAGATTTCGTTGGAAACGGGTTCATCTTCACAGAAAAACTAAACAGAAGCATTCTCAGAAACTGCTTTGTGATGTTTGTGTTCCACTTCAGGAATTGAACTTTCCTCTTGACAGAGCAGCTCTAAAACCCTCTTATTCTAGAATCTGCAAGTGGACATTTGGAGGGCTTTGAGGCCTGTGGTGGAAAAGGAAAATCTTCACATAAAAACTAGATGGAAGCATTCTCAGAAACTACTTTGTGATGATTGCATTCGACTCACAGAGTTGAACATTCCTATAGATAGAGCAGGTTGTAAACAATGTTTTTGTAGAATCTGCGATTGGAGATTTGGACTGCTTTGAGGCCTACTGTAGTAAAGGAAATAACTTCATCTAAAAACCAAACGGAAGCATTCACAGACAATTCTTAGTGATCATTGGATTGAACTAACAGAGCTGAACATTCCTTTAGATGGAGCAGTTTCCAAACACACTTTCTGCAGAATCTGCAAGTGGATATTTGGACTTCTCTGAGGATTTCGTTGGAAACGGGATAAACTTCCCAGAACTACACGGAAGCATTGTGAGAAACATCTTTGTGATGTTTGCATTCAACTCACAGAGTTGAACCTTGCTTTCATAGTTCAGCTTTCAAACACTCTTTTTGTAGAATCTGCAAGTGGATATTTGGACCACTTTGTGGCCTTCCTTCGAAACGGGTATATCTTCACATCAAACCTAGACAGAAGCATTCTCAGAATGTTTCCTGTGATGACTGCATTCAACTCACAGAGGTGAACAATCCTGCTGATGGAGCAGTTTTGAAACTCTCTTTCTTTGGATTCTGCAAGTGGATATGTGGACCTCTGTGAAGATTTCGTTGGAAACGTGCTCATCTTCACAGAAAAACTAAACAGGAGCATTCTCAGAAACTGCTTTGTGATGTTTGTGTTCCACTTCAGGAATTGAACTTTCCTCTTGACAGAGCAGCTCTGAAACCCTCTTTTTCTAGAATCTGCAAGTGGACATTTGGAGGGCTTTGAGGCCTGTGGTGGAAAAGGAAAATCTTCACATAAAAACTAGATGGAAGCATTCTCAGAAACTACTTTGTGATGATTGCATTCGACTCACAGAGTTGAACATTCCTATAGATAGAGCAGGTTGTAAACAATCTTTTTGTAGAATCTGCGATTGGAGATTTGGACTGCTTTGAGGCCTACTGTAGTAAAGGAAATAACTTCATCTAAAAACCAAACGGAAGCATTCACAGACAATTCTTAGTGATCATTGGATTGAACTAACAGAGCTGAACATTCCTTTAGATGGAGCAGTTTCCAAACACACTTTCTGTAGAATCTACAAGTGGATATTTGGACTTCTCTGAGGATTTCGTTGGAAACGGGATAAACTTCCCAGAACTACACGGAAGCATTCTGAGAAACTTCTTTGTGATGTTTGCATTCAACTCACAGAGTTGAACCTTGCTTTCATAGTTCAGCTTTCAAACACTCTTTTTGTAGAATCTGCAAGTGGATATTTGGACCACTTTGTGGCCTTCCTTCGAAACGGGTATATCTTCACATCAAACCTAGACAGAAGCATTCTCAGAATGTTTCCTGTGATGACTGCATTCAACTCACAGAGGTGAACAATCCTGTTGATGGAGCAGTTTTGAATCTCTCTTTCTTTGGATTCTGCAAGTGGATATGTGGACCTCTGTGAAGATTTTGTTGGAAACGGGTTCATTTTCACAGAAAAACTAAACAGAAGCATTCTCAGAAACTGCTTTGTGATGTTTGTGTTCCACTTCAAGAATTGAACTTTCCTCTTGACAGAGCAGCTCTGAAACCCTCTTTTTCTAGAATCTGCAAGTGGACATTTGGAGGGCTTTGAGGCCTGTGGTGGAAAAGGAAAATCTTCACATAAAAACTAGATGGAAGCATTCTCAGAAACTACTTTGTGATGATTGCATTCGACTCACAGAGTTGAACATTCCTATAGATAGAGCAGGTTGTAAACAATCTTTTTGTAGAATCTGCGATTGGAGATTTGGACTGCTTTGAGGCCTACTGTAGTAAAGGAAATAACTTCATCTAAAAACCAAACGGAAGCATTCACAGACAATTCTTAGTGATCATTGGATTGAACTAACAGAGCTGAACATTCCTTTAGATGGAGCAGTTTCCAAACACACTTTCTGTAGAATCTGCAAGTGGATATTTGGACTTCTCTGAGGATTTCGTTGGAAACGGGATAAACTTCCCAGAACTACACGGAAGCATTCTGAGAAACTTCTTTGTGATGTTTGCATTCAACTCACAGAGTTGAACCTTGCTTTCTTAGTTCAGCTTTCAAACACTCTTTTTGTAGAATCTGCAAGTGGATATTTGGACCACTTTGTGGCCTTCCTTCGAAACGGGTATATCTTCACATCAAACCTAGACAGAAGCATTCTCAGAATGTTTCCTGTGATGACTGCATTCAACTCACAGAGGTGAACAATCCTGTTGATGGAGCAGTTTTGAAACTCTCTTTCTTTGGATTCTGCAAGTGGATATGTGGACCTCTGTGAAGATTTCGTTGGAAACGGGTTCATCTTCACAGAAAAACTAAACAGAAGCATTCTCAGAAACTGCTTTGTGATGTTTGTGTTCCACTTCAAGAATTGAACTTTCCTCTTGACAGAGCAGCTCTGAAACCCTCTTTTTCTAGAATCTGCAAGTGGACATTTGGAGGGCTTTGAGGCCTGTGGTGGAAAAGGAAAATCTTCACATAAAAACTAGATGGAAGCATTCTCAGAAACTACTTTGTGATGATTGCATTCGACTCACAGAGTTGAACATTCCTATAGATAGAGCAGGTTGTAAACAATCTTTTTGTAGAATCTGCGATTGGAGATTTGGACTGCTTTGAGGCCTACTCTAGTAAAGGAAATAACTTCATCTAAAAACCAAACGGAAGCATTCACAGACAATTCTTAGTGATCATTGCATTGAACTAACAGAGCTGAACATTCCTTTAGATGGAGCAGTTTCCAAACACACTTTCTGTAGAATCTGCAAGTGGATATTTGGACCTCTGTGAGGATTTCGTTGGAAACGGGATAAACTTCCCAGAACTACACGGAAGCATTCTGAGAAACTTCTTTGTGATGTTTGCATTCAACTCACAGAGTTGAACCTTGCTTTCATAGTTCAGCTTTCAAACACTCTTTTTGTAGAATCTGCAAGTGGATATTTGGACCACTTTGTGGCCTTCCTTCGAAACGGGTATATCTTCACATCAAACCTAGACAGAAGCATTCTCAGAATGTTTCCTGTGATGACTGCATTCAACTCACAGAGGTGAACAATCCTGTTGATGGAGCAGTTTTGAATCTCTCTTTCTTTGGATTCTGCAAGTGGATATGTGGACCTCTGTGAAGATTTCGTTGGAAACGGGTTCATTTTCACAGAAAAACTAAACAGAAGCATTCTCAGAAACTGCTTTGTGATGTTTGTGTTCCACTTCAGGAATTGAACTTTCCTCTTGACAGAGCAGCTCTGAAACCCTCTTTTTCTAGAATCTGCAAGTGGACATTTGGAGGGCTTTGAGGCCTGTGTGGAAAAGGAAAATCTTCACATAAAAACTAGATGGAAGCATTCTCAGAAACTACTTTGCGATGATTGCATTCGACTCACAGAGTTGAACATTCCTATAGATAGAGCAGGTTGTAAACAATCTTTTTGTAGAATCTGCGATTGGAGATTTGGACTGCTTTGAGGCCTACTGTAGTAAAGGAAATAACTTCATCTAAAAACCAAACGGAAGCATTCACAGACAATTCTTAGTGATCATTGCATTGAACTAACAGAGCTGAACATTCCTTTAGATGGAGCAGTTTCCAAACACACTTTCTGTAGAATCTGCAAGTGGATATTTGGACCTCTCTGAGGATTTCGTTGGAAAGGGGATAAACTTCCCAGAACTACACGGAAGCATTCTGAGAAACTTCTTTGGATGTTTGCATTCAACTCACAGAGTTGAACCTTGCTTTCATAGTTCAGCTTTCAAACACTCTTTTTGTAGAATCTGCAAGTGGATATTTGGACCACTTTGTGGCCTTCCTTCGAAACGGGTATATCTTCACATCAAACCTAGACAGAAGCATTCTCAGAATGTTTCCTGTGATGACTGCATTCAACTCACAGAGGTGAACAATCCTGCTGATGGAGCAGTTTTGAAACTCTCTTTCTTTGGATTCTGCAAGTGGATATGTGGACCTCTGTGAAGATTTCGTTGGAAACGGGTTCATCTTCACAGAAAAACTAAACAGGAGCATTCTCAGAAACTGCTTTGTGATGTTTGTGTTCCACTTCAAGAATTGAACTTTCCTCTTGACAGAGCAGCTCTGAAACCCTCTTTTTCTAGAATCTGCAAGTGGACATTTGGAGGGCTTTGAGGCCTGTGGTGGAAAAGGAAAATCTTCCCATAAAAACTAGATGGAAGCATTCTCAGAAACTACTTTGTGATGATTGCATTCGACTCACAGAGTTGAACATTCCTATAGATAGAGCAGGTTGTAAACAATGTTTTTGTAGAATCTGCGATTAGAGATTTGGACTGCTTTGAGGCCTACTGTAGTAAAGGAAATAACTTCATCTAAAAACCAAACGGAAGCATTCACAGACAATTCTTAGTGATCATTGGATTGAACTAACAGAGCTGAACATTCCTTTAGATGGAGCAGTTTCCAAACACACTTTCTGTAGAATCTGCAAGTGGATATTTGGACTTCTCTGAGGATTTCGTTGGAAACGGGAAAACTTCCCAGAACTACACGGAAGCATTCTGAGAAACTTCTTTGTGATGTTTGCATTCAACTCACAGAGTTGAACCTTGCTTTCATAGTTCAGCTTTCAAACACTCTTTTTGTAGAATCTGCAAGTGGATATTTGGACCACTTTGTGGCCTTCCTTCGAAACGGGTATATCTTCACATCAAACCTAGACAGAAGAATTCTCAGAATGTTTCCTGTGATGACTGCATTCAACTCACAGAGGTGAACAATCCTGTTGATGGAGCAGTTTTGAAACTCTCTTTCTTTGGATTCTGCAAGTGGATATGTGGACTTCTGTGAAGATTTCGTTGGAAACGGGTTCATCTTCACAGAAAAACTAAACAGAAGCATTCTCAGAAACTGCTTTGTGATGTTTGTGTTCCACTTCAGGAATTGAACTTTCCTCTTGACAGAGCAGCTCTGAAACCCTCTTTTTCTAGAATCTGCAAGTGGACATTTGGAGGGCTTTGAGGCCTGTGGTGGAAAAGGAAAATCTTCACATAAAAACTAGATGGAAGCATTCTCAGAAACTACTTTGTGATGATTGCATTCGACTCACAGAGTTGAACATTCCTATAGATAGAGCAGGTTGTAAACAATCTTTTTGTAGAATCTGCGATTGGAGATTTGGACTGCTTTGAGGCCTACTGTAGTAAAGGAAATAACTTCATCTAAAAACCAAACGGAAGCATTCACAGACAATTCTTAGTGATCATTGCATTGAACTAACAGAGCTGAACATTCCTTTAGATGGCGCAGTTTCCAAACACACTTTCTGTAGAATCTGCAAGTGGATATTTGGACCTCCCTGAGGATTTCGTTGGAAACGGGATAAACTTCCCAGAACTACACGGAAGCATTGTGAGAAACTTCTTTGTGATGTTTGCATTCAACTCACAGAGTTGAACCTTGCTTTCATAGTTCAGCTTTCAAACACTCTTTTTGTAGAATCTGCAAGTGGATATTTGGACCACTTTGTGGTCTTCCTTCGAAACGGGTATATCTTCACATCAAACCTAGATAGAAGCATTCTCAGAATGTTTCCTGTGATGACTGCATTCAACTCACAGAGGTGAACAATCCTGCTGATGGAGCAGTTTTGAAACTCTCTTTCTTTGGATTCTGCAAGTGGATATGTGGACCTCTGTGAAGATTTCGTTGGAAACGGGTTCATCTTCACAGAAAAACTAAACAGAAACATTCTCAGAAACTGCTTTGTGATGTTTGTGTTCCACTTCAGGAATTGAACTTTCCTCTTGACAGAGCAGCTCTGAAATCCTCTTATTCTAGAATCTGCAAGTGGACATTTGGAGGGCTTTGAGGCCTGTGGTGGAAAAGGAAAATCTTCACATAAAAACTAGATGGAAGCATTCTCAGAAACTCCTTTGTGATGATTGCATTCGACTCAGAGAGTTGAACATTCCTATAGATAGAGCAGGTTGTAAACAATCTTTTTGTAGAATCTGCGATTGGAGATTTGGACTTCTTTGAGGCCTACTGTAGTAAAGGAAATAACTTCATCTAAAAACCAAACGGAAGCATTCACAGATAATTCTTAGTGATATTGGATTGAACTAACAGAGCTGAACATTCCTTTAGATGGAGCAGTTTCCAAACACACTTTCTGTAGAATCTGCAAGTGGATATTTGGACTTCTCTGAGGATTTCGTTGGAAACGGGATAAACTTCCCAGAACTACACGGAAGCATTCTGAGAAACATCTTTGTCATGTTTGCATTCAACTCACAGAGTTGAACCTTGCTTTCATAGTTCAGCTTTCAAACACTCTTTTTGTAGAATCTGCAAGTGGATATTTGGACCATTTTGTGGCCTTCCTTCGAAACGGGTATATCTTCACATCAAACCTAGACAGAAGCATTCTCAGAATGTTTCCTGTGATGACTGCATTCAACTCACAGAGGTGAACAATCCTGTTGATGGAGCACTTTTGAAACTCTCTTTCTTTGGATTCTGCAAGTTGATATGTGGACCTCTGTGAAGATTTCGTTGGAAACGGGTTCATCTTCACAGAAAAACTAAACAGAAGCATTCTCAGAAACTGCTTTGTGATGTTTGTGTTCCACTTCAGGAATTGAACTTTCCTCTTGACAGAGCAGCTCTGCAACCCTCTTATTCTAGAATCTGCAAGTGGACATTTGGAGGGCTTTGAGGCCTGTGGTGGAAAAGGAAAATCTTCACATAAAAACTAGATGGAAGCATTCTCAGAAACTACTTTGTGATGATTGCATTCGACTCACAGAGTTGAACATTCCTATAGATAGAGCAGGTTGTAAACAATCTTTTTGTAGAATCTGCGATTGGAGATTTGGACTGCTTTGAGGCCTACTGTAGTAAAGGAAATAACTTCATCTAAAAACCAAACGGAAGCATTCACAGACAATTCTTAGTGATCATTGGATTGAACTAACAGAGCTGAACATTCCTTTAGATGGAGCAGTTTCCAAACCCACTTTCTGTAGAATCTGCAAGTGGATATTTGGACTTCTCTGAGGATTTCGTTGGAAACGGGATAAACTTCCCAGAACTACACGGAAGCATTCTGAGAAACTTCTTTGTGATGTTTGCATTCAACTCACAGAGTTGAACCTTGCTTTCATAGTTCAGCTTTCAAACACTCTTTTTGTAGAATCTGCAAGTGGATATTTGGACCACTTTGTGGCCTTCCTTCGAAACGGGTATATCTTCACATCAAACCTAGACAGAAGCATTCTCAGAATGTTTCCTGTGATGACTGCATTCAACTCACAGAGGTGAACAATCCTGCTGATGGAGCAGTTTTGAAACTCTCTTTCTTTGGATTCTGCAGGTGGATATGTGGACCTCTGTGAAGATTTCGTTGGAAACGGGTTCATCTTCACAGAAAAACTAAACAGGAGCATTCTCAGAAACTGCTTTGTGATGTTTGTGTTCCACTTCAGGAATTGAACTTTCCTCTTGACAGAGCAGCTCTGAAACCCTCTTTTTCTAGAATCTGCAAGTGGACATTTGGAGGGCTTTGAGGCCTGTGGTGGAAAAGGAAAATCTTCACATAAAAACTAGAGGGAAGCATTCTCAGAAACTACTTTGTGATGATTGCATTCGACTCACAGAGTTGAACATTCCTATACATAGAGCAGGTTGTAAACAATCTTTTTGTAGAATCTGCGATTGGAGATTTGGACTGCTTTGAGGCCTACTGTAGTAAAGGAAATAACTTCATCTAAAAACCAAACGGAAGCATTCACAGACAATTCTTAGTGATCATTGCATTGAACTAACAGAGCTGAACATTCCTTTAGATGGCGCAGTTTCCAAACACACTTTCTGTAGAATCTGCAAGTGGATATTTGGACTTCTCTGAGGATTTCGTTGGAAACGGGATAAACTTCCCAGAACTACACGGAAGCATTCTGAGAAACTTCTTTGTGATGTTTGCATTCAACTCACAGAGTTGAACCTTGCTTTCATAGTTCAGCTTTCAAACACTCTTTTTGTAGAATCTGCAAGTGGATATTTGGACCACTTTGTGGCCTTCCTTCGAAACGGGTATATCTTCACATCAAACCTAGACAGAAGCATTCTCAGAATGTTTCCTGTGATGACTGCATTCAACTCACAGAGGTGAACAATCCTGTTGATGGTACAGTTTTGAAACTCTCTTTCTTTGGATTCTGCAATTGGATATGTAGACCTCTGTGAAGATTTCGTTGGAAACGGGTTCATCTTCACAGAAAAACTAAACAGAAGCATTCTCAGAAACTGCTTTGTGATGTTTGTGTTCCACTTCAGGAATTGAACTTTCCTCTTGACAGAGCAGCTCTAAAACCCTCTTATTCTAGAATCTGCAAGTGGACATTTGGAGGGCTTTGAGGCCTGTGGTGGAAAAGGAAAATCTTCACATAAAAACTAGATGGAAGCATTCTCAGAAACTACTTTGTGATGATTGCATTCGACTCACAGAGTTGAACATTCGTATAGATAGAGCAGGTTGTAAACAATCTTTTTGTAGAATCTGCGATTGGAGATTTGGACTGCTTTGAGGCCTACTGTAGTAAAGGAAATAACTTCATCTAAAAACCAAACGGAAGCATTCACAGACAATTCTTAGTGATCATTGCATTGAACTAACAGAGCTGAACATTCCTTAAGATGGAGCAGTTTCCAAACACACTTTCTGTAGAATCTGCAAGTGGATATTTGGACTTATCTGAGGATTTCGTTGGAAAAGGGATAAACTTCCCAGAACTACACGGAAGCATTCTGAGAAACTTCTTTGTGATGTTTGCATTCAACTCACAGAGTTGAACCTTGCTTTCATAGTTCAGCTTTCAAACACTCTTTTTGTAGAATCTGCAAGTGGATATTTGGACCACTTTGTGGCCTTCCTTCGAAACGGCTATATCTTCACATCAAACCTAGACAGAAGCATTCTCAGAATGTTTCCTGTGATGACTGCATTCAACTCACAGAGGTGAACAATCCTGCTGATGGAGCAGTTTTGAAACTCTCTTTCTTTGGATTCTGCAAGTGGATATGTGGACCTCTGTGAAGATTTCGTTGGAAACGGGTTCATCTTCACAGAAAAACTAAACAGAAGCATTCTCAGAAACTGCTTTGTGATGTTTGTGTTCCACTTCAGGAATTGAACTTTCCTCTTGACAGAGCAGCTCTGAAACCCTCTTATTCTAGAATCTGCAAGTGGACATTTGGAGGGCTTTGAGGCCTGTGGTGGAAAAGGAAAATCTTCACATAAAAACTAGATGGAAGCATTCTCAGAAACTACTTTGTGATGATTGCATTCGACTCACAGAGTTGAACATTCCTATAGATAGAGCAGGTTGTAAACAATGTTTTTGTAGAATCTGCGATTGGAGATTTGGACTGCTTTGAGGCCTACTGTAGTAAAGGAAATAACTTCATCTAAAAACCAAACGGAAGCATTCACAGACAATTCTTAGTGATCATTGGATTGAACTAACAGAGCTGAACATTCCTTTAGATGGAGCAGTTTCCAAACACACTTTCTGTAGAATCTGCAAGTGGATATTTGGACCTCTCTGAGGATTTCGTTGGAAACGGGATAAACTTCCCAGAACTACACGGAAGCATTGTGAGAAACTTCTTTGTGATGTTTGCATTCAACTCACAGAGTTGAACCTTGCTTTCATAGTTCAGCTTTCAAACACTCTTTTTGTAGAATCTGCAAGTGGATATTTGGACCACTTTGTGGCCTTCCTTCGAAACGGGTATATCTTCACATCAAACCTAGACAGAAGCATTCTCAGAATGTTTCCTGTGATGACTGCATTCAACTCACAGAGGTGAACAATCCTGCTGATGGAGCAGTTTTGAAACTCTCTTTCTTTGGATTCTGCAAGTGGATATGTGGACCTCTGTGTAGATTTCGTTGGAAACGGGTTCATCTTCACAGAAAAACTAAACAGAAGCATTCTCAGAAACTGCTTTGTGATGTTTGTGTTCCACTTCAGGAATTGAACTTTCCTCTTGACAGAGCAGCTCTGAAACCCTCTTATTCTAGAATCTGCAAGTGGACATTTGGAGGGCTTTGAGGCCTGTGGTGGAAAAGGAAAATCTTCACATAAAAACTAGATGGAAGCATTCTCAGAAACTACTTTGTGATGATTGCATTCGACTCACAGAGTTGAACATTCCTATAGATAGAGCAGGTTGTAAACAATCTTTTTGTAGAATCTGCGATTGGAGATTTGGACTGCTTTGAGGCCTACTGTAGTAAAGGAAATAACTTCATCTAAAAACCAAACGGAAGCATTCACAGACAATTCTTAGTGATCATTGCATTGAACTAACAGAGCTGAACATTCCTTTAGATGGCGCAGTTTCCAAACACACTTTCTGTAGAATCTGCAAGTGGATATTTGGACCTCTCTGAGGATTTCGTTGGAAACGGGATAAACTTCCCAGAACTACACGGAAGCATTGTGAGAAACTTCTTTGTGATGTTTGCATTCAACTCACAGAGTTGAACCTTGCTTTCATAGTTCAGCTTTCAAACACTCTTTTTGTAGAATCTGCAAGTGGATATTTGGACCACTTTGTGGCCTTCCTTCGAAACGGGTATATCTTCACATCAAACCTAGACAGAAGCATTCTCAGAATGTTTCCTGTGATGACTGCATTCAACTCACAGAGGTGAACAATCCTGCTGATGGAGCAGTTTTGAAACTCTCTTTCTTTGGATTCTGCAAGTGGATATGTGGACCTCTGTGAAGATTTCGTTGGAAACGGGTTCATCTTCACAGAAAAACTAAACAGGAGCATTCTCAGAAACTGCTTTGTGATGTTTGTGTTCCACATCAAGAATTGAACTTTCCTCTTGACAGAGCAGCTCTGAAACCCTCTTTTTCTAGAATCTGCAAGTGGACATTTGGAGGGCTTTGAGGCCTGTGGTGCAAAAGGAAAATCTTCACATAAAAACTAGATGGAAGCATTCTCAGAAACTACTTTGTGATGATTGCATTCGACTCACAGAGTTGAACATTCCTATAGATAGAGCAGGTTGTAAACAATCTTTTTGTAGAATCTGCGATTGGAGATTTGGACTGCTTTGAGGCCTACTGTAGTAAAGGAAATAACTTCATCTAAAAACCAAACGGAAGCATTCACAGACAATTCTTAGTGATCATTGGATTGAACTAACACAGCTGAACATTCCTTTAGATGGAGCAGTTTCCAAACACACTTTCTGTAGAATCTGCAAGTGGATATTTGGACTTCTCTGAGGATTTCGTTGGAAACGGGATAAACTTCCCAGAACTACAAGGAAGCATTGTGAGAAACTTCTTTGTGATGTTTGCATTCAACTCACAGAGTTGAACCTTGCTTTCATAGTTCAGCTTTCAAACACTCCTTTTGTAGAATCTGCAAGTGGATATTTGGACCACTTTGTGGCCTTCCTTCGAAACGGGTATATCTTCACATCAAACCTAGACAGAAGCATTCTCAGAATGTTTCCTGTGATGACTGCATTCAACTCACAGAGGTGAACAATGCTGCTGATGGAGCAGTTTTGAAACTCTCTTTCTTTGGATTCTGCAAGTGGATATGTGGACCTCTGTGAAGATTTCGTTGGAAACGGGTTCATCTTCACAGAAAAACTAAACAGAAGCATTCTCAGAAACTGCTTTGTGATGTTTGTGTTCCACTTCAGGAATTGAACTTTCCTCTTGACAGAGCAGCTCTGTAACCCTCTTTTTCTAGAATCTGCAAGTGGACATTTGGAGGGCTTTGAGGCCTCTGGTGGAAAAGGAAAATCTTCACATACAAACTAGATGGAAGCATTCTCAGAAACTACTTTGTGATGATTGCATTCGACTCACAGAGTTGAACATTCCTATAGATAGAGCAGGTTGTAAACAATCTTTTTGTAGAATCTGCGATTGGAGATTTGGACTGCTTTGAGGCCTACTGTAGTAAAGGAAATAACTTCATCTAAAAACCAAACGGAAGCATTCACAGACAATTCTTAGTGATCATTGGATTGAACTAACAGAGCTGAACATTCCTTTAGATGGAGCAGTTTCCAAACCCACTTTCTGTAGAATCTGCAAGTGGATATTTGGACCTCTCTGAGGATTTCTTTGGAAACGGGATAAACTTCCCAGAACTACACGGAAGCATTCTGAGAAACTTCTTTGTGATGTTTGCATTCAACTCACAGAGTTGAACCTTGCTTTCATAGTTCAGCTTTCAAACACTCTTTTTGTAGAATCTGCAAGTGGATATTTGGACCACTTTGTGGCCTTCCTTCGAAACGGGTATATCTTCACATCAAACCTAGACAGAAGCATTCTCAGAATGTTTCCTGTGATGACTGCATTCAACTCACAGAGGTGAGCAATCCTGTTGATGGAGCAGTTTTGAAACTCTCTTTCTTTGGATTCTGCAAGTTGATATGTGGACCTCTGTGAAGATTTCGTTGGAAACGGGTTCATCTTCACAGAAAAACTAAACAGAAGCATTCTCAGAAACTGCTTTGTGATGTTTGTGTTCCACTTCAGGAATTGAACTTTCCTCTTGACAGAGCAGCTCTGCAACCCTCTTATTCTAGAATCTGCAAGTGGACATTTGGAGGGCTTTGAGGCCTGTGGTGGAAAAGGAAAATCTTCACATAAAAACTAGATGGAAGCATTCTCAGAAACTACTTTGTGATGATTGCATTCGACTCACAGAGTTGAACATTCCTATAGATAGAGCAGGTTGTAAACAATCTTTTTGTAGAATCTGCGATTGGAGATTTGGACTGCTTTGAGGCCTACTGTAGTAAAGGAAATAACTTCATCTAAAAACCAAACGGAAGCATTCACAGACAATTCTTAGTGATCATTGCATTGATCTAACAGAGCTGAACATTCCTTTAGATGGCGTAGTTTCCAAACACACTTTCTGTAAAATCTGCAAGTGGATATTTGGACCTCTCTGAGGATTTCGTTGGAAAAGGGATAAACTTCCCAGAACTACACGGAAGCATTCTGAGAAACTTCTTTGTGATGTTTGCATTCAACTCACAGAGTTGAACCTTGCTTTCATAGTTCAGCTTTCAAACACTCTTTTTGTAGAATCTGCAAGTGGATATTTGGACCACTTTCTGGCCTTCCTTCGAAACGGGTATATCTTCACATCAAACCTAGACAGAAGCATTCTCAGAATGTTTCCTGTGATGACTGCATTCAACTCACAGAGGTGAACAATCCTGCTGATGGAGCAGTTTTGAAACTCTCCTTCTTTGGATTCTGGAAGTGGATATGTGGACCTCTGTGAAGATTTCGTTGGAAACGGGTTCATCTTCACAGAAAAATTAACAGAAGCATACTCAGAAACTGCTGTGTGATGTCTGTGTTCGACTTCAGGAATTGAACTTTCCTCTTGACAGAGCAGCTCTGAAACCCTCTTATTCTAGAATCTGCAAGTGGACATTTGGAGGGCTTTGAGGCCTGTGGTGGAAAAGGAAAATCTTCACATAAAAACTAGATGGAAGCATTCTCAGGAACTACTTTGTGATGATTGCATTCGACTCACAGAGTTGAACATTCCTATAGATAGAGCAGGTTGTAAACAATCTTTTTGTAGAATCTGCGATTGGAGATTTGGACTGCTTTGAGGCCTACTGTAGTAAAGGAAATAACTTCATCTAAAAACCAAATGGAAGCATTCACAGACAATTCTTAGTGATCATTGGATTGAACTAACAGAGCTGAACATTCCTTTAGATGGAGCAGTTTCCAAACACACTTTCTGTAGAATCTGCAAGTGGATATTTGGACTTCTCTGAGGATTTCGTTGGAAACGGGATAAACTTCCCAGAACTACACGGAAGCATTGTGAGAATCATCTTTCTGATGTTTGCATTCAACTCACAGAGTTGAACCTTGCTTTCATAGTTCAGCTTTCAAACACTCTTTTTGTAGAATCTGCAAGTGGATATTTGGACCACTTTGTGGCCTTCCTTTGAAACGGGTACATCTTCACATCAAACCTAGACAGAAGCATTCTCAGAATGTTTCCTGTGATGACTGCATTCAACTCACAGAGGTGAACAATCCTGCTGATGGAGCAGTTTTGAAACTCTCTTTCTTTGGATTCTGCAAGTGGATATGTGGACCTCTGTGAAGATTTCGTTGGAAACGGGTTCATCTTCACAGAAAAACTAAACAGGAGCATTCTCAGAAACTGCTTTGTGATGTTTGTGTTCCACATCAAGAATTGAACTTTCCTCTTGACAGAGCAGCTCTGATACCCTCTTTTTCTAGAATCTGCAAGTGGACATTTGGAGGGCTTTGAGGCCTGTGGTGCAAAAGGAAAATCTTCACATAAAAACTAGATGGAAGCATTCTCAGAAACTACTTTGTGATGATTGCATTCGACTCACAGAGTTGAACATTCCTATAGATAGAGCAGGTTGTAAACAATCTTTTTGTAGAATCTGCGATTGGAGATTTGGACTGCTTTGAGGCCTACTGTAGTAAAGGAAATAACTTCATCTAAAAACCAAAATGGAAGCATTCACAGACAATTCTTAGTGATCATGGGATTGAACTAACAGAGCTGAACATTCCTTTAGATGGAGCAGTTTCCAAACACACTTTCTGTAGAATCTGCAAGTGGATATTTGGACTTCTCTGAGGATTTCGTTGGAAACGGGATAAACTTCCCAGAACTACACGGAAGCATTGTGAGAAACTTCTTTGTGATGTTTGCATTCAACTCACAGAGTTGAACCTTGCTTTCATAGTTCAGCTTTCAAACACTCTTTTTGTAGAATCTGCAAGTGGATATTTGGACCACTTTTTGGCCTTCCTTCGAAACGGGTATATCTTCACATCAAACCTAGACAGAAGCATTCTCAGAATGTTTCCTGTGATGACTGCATTCAACTCACAGAGGTGAACAATCCTGCTGATGGAGCAGTTTTGAAACTCTCTTTCTTTGGATTCTGCAAGTGGATATGTGGACCTCTGTGAAGATTTCGTTGGAAACGGGTTCATCTTCACAGAAAAACTAAACAGAAGCATTATCAGAAACTGCTTTGTGATGTTTGTGTTCCACTTCAGGAATTGTACTTTCCTCTTGACAGAGCAGCTCTGAAACCCTCTTATTCTAGAATCTGCAAGTGGACATTTGGAGGGCTTTGAGGCCTGTGGTGGAAAAGGAAAATCTTCACATAAAAACTAGATGGAAGCATTCTCAGAAACTACTTTGTGATGATTGCATTCGACTCACAGAGTTGAACATTCCTATAGATAGAGCAGGTTGTAAACAATCTTTTTGTAGAATCTGCGATTGGAGATTTGGACTGCTTTGAGGCCTACTGTAGTAAAGGAAATAACTTCATCTAAAAACCAAACGGAAGCATTCACAGACAATTCTTAGTGATCATTGGATTGAACTAACAGAGCTGAACATTCCTTTAGATGGCGCAGTTTCCAAACACACTTTCTGTAGAATCTGCCACTGGATATTTGGAACTCTCTGAGGATTTCGTTGGAAACGGGCTAAACTTCCCAGAACTACACGGAAGCATTCTGAGAAACTTCTTTGTGATGTTTGCATTCAACTCACAGAGTTGAACCTTGCTTTCATAGTTCAGCTTTCAAACACTCTTTTTGTAGAATCTGCAAGTGGATATTTGGACCACTTTGTGGCCTTCGTTCGAAACGGGTATATCTTCACATCAAACCTAGACAGAAGCATTCTCAGAATGTTTCCTGTGATGACTGCATTCAACTCACAGAGGTGAACAATCCTGCTGATGGAGCAGTTTTGAAACTCTCTTTCTTTGGATTCTGCAAGTGGATATGTGGACCTCTGTGAAGATTTCGTTGGAAACGGGTTCATCTTCACAGAAAAACTAAACAGGAGCATTCTCAGAAACTGCTTTGTGATGTTTGTGTTCCACTTCAAGAATTGAACTTTCCTCTTGACAGAGCAGCTCTGAAACCCTCTTTTTCTAGAATCTGCAAGTGGACATTTGGAGGGCTTTGAGGCCTGTGGTGGAAAAGGAAAATCTTCACATAAAAACTAGATGGAAGCATTCTCAGAAACTACTCTGTGATGATTGCATTCGACTCACAGAGTTGAACATTCCTATAGATAGAGCAGGTTGTAAACAATCTTTTTGAAGAATCTGCGATTGGAGATTTGGACTGCTTTGAGGCCTACTGCAGTAAAGGAAATAACATCATCTAAAAACCAAACGGAAGCATTCACAGACAATTCTTAGTGATCATTGGATTGAACTAACAGAGCTGAACATTCCTTTAGATGGAGCATTTTCCAAACACACTTTCTGTAGAATCTGCAAGTGGATATTTGGACTTCTCTGAGGATTTCGTTGGAAACGGAATAAACTTCCCAGAACTGCACGGAAGCATTCTGAGAAACTTCTTTGTGATGTTTGCATTCAACTCACAGAGTTGAACCTTGCTTTCATAGTTCAGCTTTCAAACACTCTTTTTGTAGAATCTGCAAGTGGATATTTGGACCACTTTGTGGCCTTCCTTCGAAACGGGTATATCTTCACATCAAACCTAGACAGAAGCATTCTCAGAATGTTTCCTGTGATGACTGCATTCAACTCACAGAGGTGAACAATCCTGGTGATGGAGCAGTTTTGAAACTCTCTTTCTTTGGATTCTGCAAGTGGATATGTGGACCTCTGTGAAGATTTCGTTGGAAACGGGTTCATCTTCACAGAAAAACTAAACAGGAGCATTCTCAGAAACTGCTTTGTGATGTTTGTGTTCCACTTCAGGAATTGAACTTTCCTCTTGACAGAGCAGCTCTGAAACCCTCTTTTTCTAGAATCTGCAAGTGGACATTTGGAGGGCTTTGAGGCCTGTGGTGGAAAAGGAAAATCTTCACATAAAAACTAGATGGAAGCATTCTCAGAAACTACTTTGTGATGATTGCATTCGACTCACAGAGTTGAACATTCCTATAGATAGAGCAGGTTGTAAACAATCTTTTTGTAGAATCTGCGATTGGAGATTTGGACTGCTTTGAAGCCTACTGTAGTAAAGGAAATAACTTCATCTAAAAACCAAACGGAAGCATTCACAGACAATTCTTAGTGATCATTGCATTGAACTAACAGAGCTGAACATTCCTTTAGATGGCGCAGTTTCCAAACACACTTTCTGTAGAATCTGCAAGTGGATATTTGGACCTCTCTGAGGATTTCGTTGGAAACGGGATAAACTTCCCAGAACTACACGGAAGCATTCTGAGAAACTTCTTTGTGATGTTTGCATTCAACTCACAGAGTTGAACCTTGCTTTCATAGTTCAGCTTTCAAACACTCTTTTTGTAGAATCTGCAAGTGGATATTTGGACCACTTTGTGGCCTTCCTTCGAAACGGGTATATCTTCACATCAAACCTCGACAGAAGCATTCTCAGAATGTTTCCTGTGATGACTGCATTCAACTCACAGAGGTGAACAATCCTGTTGATGGAGCAGTTTTGAAACTCTCTTTCTTTGGATTCTGCAAGTTGATATGTGGACCTATGTGAAGATTTCGTTGGAAACGGGTTCATCTTCACAGAAAAACTAAACAGAAGCATTCTCAGAAACTGCTTTGTGATGTTTGTGTTCCACTTCAAGAATTGAACTTTCCTCTTGACAGAGCAGCTCTGAAACCCTCTTTTTCTAGAATCTGCAAGTGGACATTTGGAGGGCTTTGAGGCCTGTGGTGGAAAAGGAAAATCTTCATATAATAACTTTATAGAAGCATTCTCAGAAACTACTTTGTGATGATTGCATTCGACTCACAGAGTTGAACATTCCTATACATAGAGCAGGTTGTAAACAATCTTTTTGTAGAATCTGCGATTGGAGATTTGGACTGCTTTGAGGCCTACTGTAGTAAAGGAAATAACTTCATCTAAAAACCAAACGGAAGCATTCACAGACAATTCTTAGTGATCATTGCATTGAACTAACAGAGCTGAACATTCCTTTAGATGGAGCAGTTTCCAAACACACTTTCTGTAGAATCTGCAAGTGGATATTTGGACTTCTCTGAGGATTTCGTTGGAAACGGGATAAACTTCCCAGAACTACACGGAAGCATTGTGAGAAAATTCTTTGTGATGTTTGCATTCAACTCACAGAGTTGAACCTTGCTTTCATAGTTCAGCTTTCAAACACTCTTTTTGTAGAATCTGCAAGTGGATATTTGGACCACTTTGTGGCCTTCCTTCGAAACGGGTATATCTTCACATCAAACCTAGACAGAAGCATTCTCAGAATGTTTCCTGTGATGACTGCATTCAACTCACAGAGGTGAACAATCCTGTTGATGGAGCAGTTTTGAAACTCTCTTTCTTTGGATTCTGCAAGTGGATATGTGGACCTCTGTGAAGATTTCGTTGGAAACGGGTTCATCTTCACAGAAAAACTAAACAGAAACATTCTCAGAAACTGCTTTGTGATGTTTGTGTTCCACTTCAAGAATTGAACTTTCCTCTTGACAGAGCAGCTCTGAAACCCTCTTTTTCTAGAATCTGCAAGTGGACATTTGGAGGGCTTTGAGGCCTGTGGTGGAAAAGGAAAATCTTCACATAAAAACTAGATGGAAGCATTCTCAGAAACTACTTTGTGATGATTGCATTCGACTCACAGAGTTGAACATTCCTATACATAGAGCAGGTTGTAAACAATCTTTTTGTAGAATCTGCGATTGGAGATTTGGACTGCTTTGAGGCCTACTGTAGTAAAGGAAATAACTTCATCTAAAAACCAAACGGAAGCATTCACAGACAATTCTTAGTGATCATTGCATTGAACTAACAGAGCTGAACATTCCTTTAGATGGAGCAGTTTCCAAACACACTTTCTGTAGAATCTGCAAGTGGATATTTGGACTTCTCTGAGGATTTCGTTGGAAACGGGATAAACTTCCCAGAACTACACGGAAGCATTCTGAGAAACTTCTTTGTGATGTTTGCATTCAACTCACAGAGTTGAACCTTGCTTTCATAGTTCAGCTTTCAAACACTCTTTTTGTAGAATCTGCATGTGGATACTTGGACCACTTCGTGGCCTTCCTTCGAAACGGGTATATCTTCACATCAAACCTAGACAGAAGCATTCTCAGAATGTTTCCTGTGATGACTGCATTCAACTCACAGAGGTGAACAATCCTGTTGATGGAGCACTTTTGAATCTCTCTTTCTTTGGATTCTGCAAGTGGATATGTGGACCTCTGGGAAGATTTCGTTGGAAACGGGTTCATCTTCACAGAAAAACTAAACAGGAGCATTCTCAGAAACTGCTTTGTGATGTTTGTGTTCCACTTCAGGAATTGAACTTTCCTCTTGACAGAGCAGCTCTGAAACCCTCTTTTTCTAGAATCTGCAAGTGGACATTTGGAGGGCTTTGAGGCCTTTGGTGGAAAAGGAAAATCTTCACATAAAAACTAGATGGAAGCATTCTCAGAAACTACTTTGTGATGATTGCATTCGACTCACAGAGTTGAACATTCCTATAGACAGAGCAGGTTGTAAACAATCTTTTTGTAGAATCTGCGATTGGAGATTTGGACTGCTTTGAGGCCTACTGTAGTAAAGGAAATAACTTCATCTAAAAACCAAACGGAAGCATTCACAGAAAATTCTTAGTGATCATTGGATTGAACTAACAGAGCTGAACATTCCTTTAGATGGAGCAGTTTCCAAACCCACTTTCTGTAGAATCTGCAAGTGGATATTTGGACTTCTCTGAGGATTTCGTTGGAAACGGGATATGCTTCCCAGAACTACACGGAAGCATTCTGAGAAACTTCTTTGTGATGTTTGCATTCAACTCACAGAGTTGAACCTTGCTTTCATAGTTCAGCTTTCAAACACTCTTTTTGTAGAATCTGCAAGTGGATATTTGGACCACTTTGTGGCCTTCCTTCGAAACGGGTATATCTTCACATCAAACCTAGACAGAAGCATTCTCAGAATGTTTCCTGTGATGACTGCATTCAACTCACAGAGGTGAACAATCCTTCTGATGGAGCAGTTTTGAAACTCTCTTTCTTTGGATTCTGCAAGTGGATATGTGGACCTCTGTGAAGATTTCGTTGGAAACGGGTTCATCTTCACAGAAAAACTAAACAGAAGCATTCTCGGAAACTGCTTTGTGATGTTTGTGTTCCACTTCAGGAATTGAACTTTCCTCTTGACAGAGCAGCTCTGAAACCCTCTTATTCTAGAATCTGCAAGTGGACATTTGGAGGGCTTTGAGGCCTGTGGTGGAAAAGGAAAATCTTCACATAAAAACTAGATGGAAGCATTCTCAGAAACTACTTTGTGATGATTGCATTCGACTCACAGAGTTGAACATTCCTATAGATAGAGCAGGTTGTAAACAATCTTTTTGTAGAATCTGCGATTGGAGATTTGGACTGCTTTGAGGCCTACTGTAGTAAAGGAAATAACTTCATCTAAAAACCAAACGGAAGCATTCACAGACAATTCTTAGTGATCATTGGATTGAACTAACAGAGCTGAACATTCCTTTAGATGGAGCAGTTTCCAAACACACTTTCTGTAGAATCTGCAAGTGGATATTTGGACTTCTCTGAGGATTTCGTTGGAAACGGGATAAACTTCCCAGAACTACACGGAAGCATTGTGAGAAACTTCTTTGTGATGTTTGCATTCAACTCACAGAGTTGAACCTTGCTTTCATAGTTCAGCTTTCAAACACTCCTTTTGTAGAATCTGCAAGTGGATATTTGGACCACTTTGTGGCCTTCCTTCGAAACGGGTATATCTTCACATCAAACCTAGACAGAAGCATTCTCAGAATGTTTCCTGTGATGACTGCATTCAACTCACAGAGGTGAACAATCCTGCTGATGGAGCAGTTTTGAAACTCTCTTTCTTTGGATTCTGCAAGTGGATATGTGGACCTCTGTGAAGATTTCGTTGGAAACGGGTTCATCTTCACAGAAAAACTAAACAGAAGTATTCTCAGAAACTGCTTTGTGATGTTTGTGTTCCACTTCAAGAATTGAACTTTCCTCTTGACAGAGCAGCTCTGAAACCCTCTTTTTCTAGAATCTGCAAGTGGACATTTGGAGGGCTTTGAAGCCTGTGGTGGAAAAGGAAAATCTTCACATAAAAACTAGATGGAAGCATTCTCAGAAACTACTTTGTGATGATTGCATTCGACTCACAGAGTTGAACATTCCTATAGATAGAGCAGGTTGTAAACAATCTTTTTGTAGAATCTGCGATTGGAGATTTGGACTGCTTTGAGGCCTACTGTAGTAAAGGAAATAACTTCATCTAAAAACCAAACGGAAGCATTCACAGACAATTCTTAGTGATCATTGGATTGAACTAACAGAGCTGAACATTCCTTTAGATGGAGCAGTTTCTAAACAAACTTTCTGTAGAATCTGCAAGTGGATATTTGGACCTCTCTGAGGATTTCGTTGGAAAAGGGATAAACTTCCTAGAACTACACGGAAGCATTGTGAGAAACTTCTTTGTGATGTTTGCATTCAACTCACAGAGTTGAACCTTGCTTTCATAGTTCAGCTTTCAAACACTCTTTTTGTAGAATCTGCAAGTGGATATTTGGACCACTTTGTGGCCTTCCTTCGAAACGGGTATATCTTCACATCAAACCTAGACAGAAGCATTCTCAGAATGTTTCCTGTGATGACTGCATTCAACTCACAGAGGTGAACAATCCTGCTGATGGAGCAGTTTTGAAACTCTCTTTCTTTGGATTGTGCAAGTGGATATGTGGACCTCTGTGTAGATTTCGTTGGAAACGGGTTCATCTTCACAGAAAAACTAAACAGGAGCATTCTCAGAAACTGCTTTGTGATGTTTGTGTTCCACTTCAAGAATTGAACTTTCCTCTTGACAGAGCAGCTCTGAAACCCTCTTTTTCTAGAAACTGCAAGTGGACATTTGGAGGGCTTAGAGGCCTGTGGTGGAAAAGGAAAATCTTCACATAAAAACTAGATGGAAGCATTCTCAGAAACTACTTTGTGATGATTGCATTCGACTCACAGAGTTGAACATTCCTATAGATAGATCAGGTTGTAAACAATCTTTTTGTAGAATCTGCGATTGGAGATTTGGACTGCTTTGAGGCCTACTGTAGTAAAGGAAATAACTTCATCTAAAAACCAAACGGAAGCATTCACAGACAATTCTTAGTGATCATTGCATTGAACTAACAGAGCTGAACATTCCTTTAGATGGCGCAGTTTCCAAACACACTTTCTGTAGAATCTGCAAGTGGATATTTGGACCTCTCTGAGGATTTCGTTGGAAACGGGATAAACTTCCCAGAACTACACTGAAGCATTGTGAGAAACTTCTTTGTGATGTTTGCATTCAACTCACAGAGTTGAACCTTGCTTTCATAGTTCAGCTTTCAAACACTCTTTTTATAGAATCTGCAAGTGGATATTTGGACCACTTTGTGGCCTTCCTTCGAAACGGGTATATCTTCACATCAAACCTAGACAGAAGCATTCTCAGAATGTTTCCTGTGATGACTGCATTCAACTCACAGAGGTGAACAATCCTGCTGATGGAGCAGTTTTGAAACTCTCTTTCTTTGGATTCTGCAAGTGGATATGTGGACCTCTGTGAAGATTTCGTTGGAAACGGGTTCATCTTCACAGAAAAACTAAACAGGAGCATTCTCAGAAACTGCTTTGTGATGTTTGTGTTCCACTTCAAGAATTGAACTTTCCTCTTGACAGAGCAGCTCTGAAACCCTCTTTTTCTAGAATCTGCAAGTGGACATTTGGAGGGCTTTGAGGCCTGTGGTGGTAAAGGAAAATCTTCACATAAAAACTTTATGGAAGCATTCTCAGAAACTTCTTTGTGATGATTGCATTCGACTCACAGAGTTGAACATTCCTATAGATAGAGCAGGTTGTAAACAATCTTTTTGTAGAATCTGCGATTGGAGATTTGGACTGCTTTGAGGCCTACTGTAGTAAAGGAAATTACTTCATCTAAAAACCAAACGGAAGCATTCACAGACAATTCTTAGTGATCATTGGATTGAACTAACAGAGCTGAACATTCCTTTAGATGGAGCAGTTTCCAAACCCACTTTCTGTAGAATCTGCAAGTGGATATTTGGACTTCTCTGAGGATTTCGTTGGAAACGGGATAAACTTCCCAGAACTACACGGAAGCATTGTGAGAAACTTCTTTGTGATGTTTGCATTCAACTCACAGAGTTGAACCTTGTTTTCATAGTTCAGCTTTCAAAAACTCTTTTTGTAGAATCTGCAAGTGGATATTTGGACCACTTTGTGGCCTTCCTTCGAAACGGGTATATCTTCACATCAAACCTAGACAGAAGCATTCTCAGAATGTTTCCTGTGATGACTGCATTCAACTCACAGAGGTGAACAATCCTGCTGTTGGAGCAGTTTTGAAACTCTCTTTCTTTGGATTCTGCAAGTGGATATGTGGACCTCTGTGAAGATTTCGTTGGAAACGGGTTCATCTTCACAGAAAAACTAAACAGGAGCATTCTCAGAAACTGCTTTGTGATGTTTGTGTTCCACTTCAAGAATTGAACTTTCCTCTTGACAGAGCAGCTCTGAAACCCTCTTTTTCTAGAATCTGCAAGTGGACATTTGGAGGGCTTTGAGGCCTGTGGTGGAAAAGGAAAATCTTCCCATAAAAACTAGATGGAAGCATTCTCAGAAACTACTTTGTGATGATTGCATTCGACTCACAGAGTTGAACATTACTATAGATAGAGCAGGTTGTAAACAATGTTTTTGTAGAATCTGCGATTGGAGATTTGGACTGCTTTGAGTCCTACTGTAGTAAAGGAAATAACTTCATCTAAAAACCAAACGGAAGCATTCACAGACAATTCTTAGTGATCATTGGATTGAGCTAACAGAGCTGAACATTCCTTTAGATGGAGCAGTTTCCAAACACACTTTCTGCAGAATCTGCAAGTGGATATTTGGACTTCTCTGAGGATTTCGTTGGAAACGGGATAAACTTCCCAGAACTACACGGAAGCATTGTGAGAATCATCTTTCTGATGTTTGCATTCAACTCACAGAGTTGAACCTTGCTTTCATAGTTCAGCTTTCAAACACTCTTTTTGTAGAATCTGCAAGTGGATATTTGGACCACTTTGTGGCCTTCCTTTGAAACGGGTACATCTTCACATCAAACCTAGACAGAAGCATTCTCAGAATGTTTCCTGTGATGACTGCATTCAACTCACAGAGGTGAACAATCCTGCTGATGGAGCAGTTTTGAAACTCTCTTTCTTTGGATTCTGCAAGTGGATATGTGGACCTCTGTGAAGATTTCGTTGGAAACGGGTTCATCTTCACAGAAAAACTAAACAGGAGCATTCTCAGAAACTGCTTTGTGATGTTTGTCTTCCACATCAAGAATTGAACTTTCCTCTTGACAGAGCAGCTCTGAAACCCTCTTTTTCTAGAATCTGCAAGTGGACATTTGGAGGGCTTTGAGGCCTGTGGTGCAAAAGGAAAATCTTCACATAAAAACTAGATGGAAGCATTCTCAGAAACTACTTTGTGATGATTGCATTCGACTCACAGAGTTGAACATTCCTATAGATAGAGCAGGTTGTAAACAATCTTTTTGTAGAATCTGCGATTGGAGATTTGGACTGCTTTGAGGCCTACTGTAGTAAAGGAAATAACTTCATCTAAAAACCAAACGGAAGCATTCACAGACAATTCTTAGTGATCATTGGATTGAACTAACAGAGCTGAACATTCCTTTAGATGGAGCAGTTTCCAAACCCACTTTCTGTAGAATCTGCAAGTGGATATTTGGACTTCTCTGAGGATTTCGTTGGAAACGGGATAAACTTCCCAGAACTACAGGGAAGCATTGTGAGAAACTTCTTTGTGATGTTTGCATTCAACTCACAGAGTTGAACCTTGCTTTCATAGTTCAGCTTTCAAACACTCTTTTTGTAGAATCTGCAAGTGGATATTTGGACCACTTTGTGGCCTTCCTTCGAAACGGGTATATCTTCACATCAAACCTAGACAGAAGCATTCTCAGAATGTTTCCTGTGATGACTGCATTCAACTCACACAGGTGAACAATCCTGTTGATGGAGCAGTTTTGAAACTCTCTTTCTTTGGATTCTGCAAGTGGATATGTGGACCTCTGTGAAGATTTCGTTGGAAACGGGTTCATCTTCACAGAAAAACTAAACAGAAGCATTCTCAGAAACTGCTTTGTGATGTTTGTGTTCCACTTCAAGAATTGAACTTTCCTCTTGACAGAGCAGCTCTGAAACCCTCTTTTTCTAGAGTCTGCAAGTGGACATTTCGAGGGCTTTGAGGCCTGTGGTGGAAAAGGAAAATCTTCACATAAAAACTAGATGGAAAGCATTCTCAGAAACTACTTTGTGATGATTGCATTCGACTCACAGAGTTGAACATTCCTATACATAGAGCAGGTTGTAAACAATCTTTTTGTAGAATCTGCGATTGGAGATTTGGACTGCTTTGAGGCCTACTGTAGTAAAGGAAATAACTTCATCTAAAAACCAAACGGAACCATTCACAGACAATTCTTAGTGATCATTGCATTGAACTAACAGAGCTGAACATTCCTTTAGATGGAGCAGTTTCCAAACACACTTTCTGTAGAATCTGCAAGTGGACATTTGGACTTCTCTGAGGATTTCGTTGGAAACGGGATAAACTTCCCAGAACTACACGGAAGCATTCTGAGAAACTTCTTTGTGATGTTTGCATTCAACTCACAGAGTTGAACCTTGCTTTCATAGTTCAGCTTTCAAACACTCTTTTTGTAGAATCTGCAAGTGGATATTTGGACCACTTTCTGGCCTTCCTTCGAAACGGGTATATCTTCACATCAAACCTAGACAGAAGCATTCTCAGAATGTTTCCTGTGATGACTGCATTCAACTCACAAAGGTGAACAATCCTGCTGATGGAGCAGTTTTGTAACTCTCTTTCTTTGAATTCTGCAAGTGGATATGTGGACCTCTGTGAAGATTTCGTTGGAAACGGGTTCATCTTCACAGAAAAACTAAACAGAAGCATTCTCAGAAACTGCTTTGTGATGTTTGTGTTCCACTTCAAGAATTGAACTTTCCTCTTGACAGAGCAGCTCTGAAACCCTCTTTTTCTAGAATCTGCAAGTGGACATTTGGAGGGCTTTGAGGCCTGTGGTGGAAAAGGAAAATCTTCGCATAAAAACTAGATGGAAGCATTCTCAGAACCTACTTTGTGATGATTGCATTCGACTCACAGGAGTTGAACATTCCCATAGATAGAGCAGGTTGTAAACAATCTTTTTGTAGAATCTGCGATTGGAGATTTGGACTGCTTTGAGGCCTACTGTAGTAAAGGAAATAACTTCATCTAAAAACAAAACGGAAGCATTCACAGATAATTCTTAGTGATATTGGATTGAACTAACAGAGCTGAACATTCCTTTAGATGGAGCACTTTCCAAACACACTTTCTGTAGAATCTGCAAGTGGATATTTGGACCTCTCTGAGGATTTCGTTGGAAACGGGATAAACTTCCCAGAACTACACGGAAGCATTCTGAGAAACTTCTTTGTCATGTTTGCATTCAACTCACAGAGTTGAACCTTGCTTTCATAGTTCAGCTTTCAAACACTCTTTTTGTAGAATCTGCAAGTGGATATTTGGACCACTTTGTGGCCTTCCTTCGAAATGGGTATATCTTCACATCAAACCTAGACAGAAGCATTCTCAGAATGTTTCCTGTGATGACTGCATTCAACTCACAGAGGTGAACAATCCTGCTGATGGAGCAGTTTTGAAACTCTCTTTCTTTGGATTCTGCAAGTGGATATGTGGACCTCTGTGAAGATTTCGTTGGAAACGGGTTCATCTTCACAGAAAAACTAAACAGAAGCATTCTCAGAAACTGCTTTGTGATGTTTGTGTTCCACTTCAGGAATTGAACTTTCCTCTTGACAGAGCAGCTCTGAAACCCTCTTATTCTAGAATCTGCAAGTGGACATTTGGAGGGCTTTGAGGCCTGTGGTGGAAAAGGAAAATCTTCACATAAAAACTAGATGGAAGCATTCTCAGAAAGTACTTTGTGATGATTGCATTCGACTCACAGAGTTGAACATTCCTATAGATAGAGCAGGTTGTAAACAATCTTTTTGTAGAATCTGCGATTGGAGATTTGGACTGCTTTGAGGCCTACTGTAGTAAAGGAAATAACTTCATCTAAAAACCAAACGGAAGCATTCACAGACAATTCTTAGTGATCATTGCATTGAACTAACAGAGCTGAACATTCCTTTAGATGGCGCAGTTTCCAAACACACTTTCTGTAGAATCTGCAAGTGGATATTTGGACCTCTCTGAGGATTTCGTTGGAAACGGGATAAACTTCCCAGAACTACACGGAAGCATTGTGAGAAACTTCTTTGTGATGTTTGCATTCAACTCACAGAGTTGAACCTTGCTTTCATAGTTCAGCTTTCAAACACTCCTTTTGTAGAATCTGCAAGTGGATATTTGGACCACTTTGTGGCCTTCCTTGGAAACGGGTATATCTTCACATCAAACCTAGACAGAAGCATTCTCAGAATGTTTCCTGTGATGACTGCATTCAACTCACAGAGGTGAACAATCCTGCTGATGGAGCAGTTTTGAAACTCTCTTTCTTTGGATTCTGCAAGTGGATATGTGGACCTCTGTGAAGATTTCGTTGGAAACGGGTTCATCTTCACAGAAAAACTAAACAGAAGCATTCTCAGAAACTGCTTTGTGATGTTTGTGTTCCACTTCAAGAATTGAACTTTCCTCTTGACAGAGCAGCTCTGAAACCCTCTTTTTCTAGAATCTGCAAGTGGACATTTGGAGGGCTTTGAGGCCTGTGGTGGAAAAGGAAAATCTTCCCATAAAAACTAGATGGAAGCATTCTCAGAAACTACTTTGTGATGATTGCATTCGACTCACAGAGTTGAACATTCCTATAGATAGAGCAGGTTGTAAACAATCTTTTTGTAGAATCTGCGATTGGAGATTTGGACTGCTTTGAGGCCTACTGTAGTAAAGGAAATAACTTCATCTAAAAACCAAACGGAAGCATTCACAGACAATTCTTAGTGATCATTGGATTGAACTAACAGAGCTGAACATTCCTTTAGATGGAGCAGTTTCCAAACACACTTTCTGCAGAATCTGCAAGTGGATATTTGGACTTCTCTGAGGATTTCGTTGGAAACGGGATAAACTTCCCAGAACTACACGGAAGCATTGTGAGAAACATCTTTGTGATGTTTGCATTCAACTCACAGAGTTGAACCTTGCTTTCATAGTTCAGCTTTCAAACACTCTTTTTGTAGAATCTGCAAGTGGATATTTGGACCACTTTGTGGCTTTCCTTTGAAACGGGTACATCTTCACATCAAACCTAGACAGAAGCATTCTCAGAATGTTTCTTGTGATGACTGCATTCAACTCACAGAGGTGAACAATCCTGCTGATGGAGCAGTTTTGAAACTCTCTTTCTTTGGATTCTGCAAGTGGATATGTGGACCTCTGTGAAGATTTCGTTGGAAACGGGTTCATCTTCACATAAAAACTAAACAGGAGCATTCTCAGAAACTGCTTTGTGATGTTTGTGTTCCACTTCAAGAATTGAACTTTCCTCTTGACAGAGCAGCTCTGAAACCCTCTTTTTCTAGAATCTGCAAGTGGACATTTGGAGGGCTTTGAGGCCTGTGGTGGAAAAGGAAAATCTTCATATAAAAACTAGATGGAAGCATTCTCAGAAACTACTTTGTGATGATTGCATTCGACTCACAGAGTTGAACATTCCTATAGATAGAGCAGGTTGTAAACAATCTTTTTGTAGAATCTGCGATTGGAGATTTGGACTGCTTTGAGGCCTACTGTAGTAAAGGAAATAACTTCATCTAAAAACCAAACGGAAGCATTCACAGACAATTCTTAGTGATCATTGGATTGAACTAACAGAGCTGAACATTCCTTTAGATGGAGCAGTTTCCAAACACACTTTCTGTAGAATCTGCAAGTGGATATTTGGACTTCTCTGAGGATGTCGTTGGAAACGGGATAAACTTCCCAGAACTACACGGAAGCATTGTGAGAAACTTCTTTGTGATGTTTGCATTCAACTCACAGAGTTGAACCTTGCTTTCCTAGTTCAGCTTTCATACACTCTTTTTGTGGAATCTGCAAGTGGATATTTGGACCACTTTGTGGCCTTCCTTCGAAACGGGTATATCTTCACATCAAACCTAGACAGAAGCATTCTCAGAATGTTTCCTGTGTTGACTGCATTCAACTCACAGAGGTGAACAATCCTGCTGATGGAGCAGTTTTGAAACTCTCTTTCTTTGGATTCTGCAAGTGGATATGTGGACCTCTGTGAAGATTTCGTTGGAAACGGGTTCATCTTCACAGAAAAACTAAACAGAAGCATTCTCAGAAACTGCTTTGTGATGTTTGTGTTCCACTTCAGGAATTGAACTTTCCTCTTGACAGAGCAGCTCTGAAACCCTCTTATTCTAGAATCTGCAAGTGGACATTTGGAGGGCTTTGAGGCCTGTGGTGGAAAAGGAAAATCTTCACATAAAAACTAGATGGAAGCATTCTCAGAAACTACTTTGTGATGATTGCATTCGACTCACAGAGTTGAACATTCCTATAGATAGAGCAGGTTGTAAACAATCTTTTTGTAGAATCTGCGATTGGAGATTTGGACTGCTTTGAGGCCTACTGTAGTAAAGGAAATAACTTCATCTAAAAACCAAACGGAAGCATTCACAGACAATTCTTAGTGATCATTGGATTGAACTAACAGAGCTGAACATTCCTTTAGATGGAGAAGTTTCCAAACACACTTTCTGCAGAGTCTGCAAGTGGATATTTGGACTTCTCTGAGGATTTCGTTGGAAACGGGATAAACTTCCCAGAACTACACGGAAGCATTGTGAGAAACTTCTTTGTGATGTTTGCATTCAACTCACAGAGTTGAACCTTGCTTTCATAGTTCAGCTTTCAAACACTCTTTTTGTAGAATCTGCAAGTGGATATTTGGACCACTTTGTGGCCTTCCTTCGAAACGGGTATATCTTCACATCAAACCTAGACAGAAGCATTCTCAGAATGTTTCCTGTGATGACTGCATTCAACTCACAGAGGTGAACAATCCTGCTGATGGAGCAGTTTTGAAACTCTCTTTCTTTGGATTCTGCAAGTGGATATGTGGACCTCTGTGAAGATTTCGTTGGAAACGGGTTCATCTTCACAGAAAAACTAAACAGAAGCATTCTCAGAAACTGCTTTGTGATGTTTGTGTTCCACTTCAAGAATTGAACTTTCCTCTTGACAGAGCAGCTCTGAAACCCTCTTATTCTAGAATCTGCAAGTGGACATTTGGAGGGCTTTGAGGCCTGTGGTGGAAAAGGAAAATCTTCACATAAAAACTAGATGGAAGCATTCTCAGAAACTACTTTGTGATGATTGCATTTGACTCACAGAGTTGAACATTCCTATAGATAGAGCAGGTTGTAAACAATCGTTTTCTAGAATCTGCGATTGGAGATTTGGACTGCTTTGAGGCCTACTGTAGTAAAGGAAATAACTGCATCTAAAAACCAAACGGAAGCATTCACAGACAATTCTTAGTGATCATTGGATTGAACTAACAGAGCTGAACATTCCTTTAGATGGAGCAGTTTCCAAACACACTTTCTGTAGAATCTGCAAGTGGATATTTGGACTTCTCTGAGGATTTCGTTGGAAACGGGATAAACTTCCCAGAACTACACGGAAGCATTGTGAGAAACTTCTTTGTGATGTTTGCATTCAACTCACAGAGTTGAACCTTGCTTTCATAGTTCAGCTTTCAAACACTCTTTTTGTAGAATCTGCAAGTGGATATTTGGACCACTTTGTGGCCTTCCTTTGAAACGGGTATATCTTCACATCAAACCTAGACAGAAGCATTCTCAGAATGTTTCCTGTGATGACTGCATTCAACTCACAGAGGTGAACAATCCTGCTGATGGAGCAGTTTTGAAACTCTCTTTCTTTGGATTCTGCAAGTGGATATGTGGACCTCTGTGAAGATTTCGTTGGAAACGGGTTCATCTTCACAGAAAAACTAAACAGAAGCATTCTCAGAACCTGCTTTGTGATGTTTGTGTTCCACTTCAGGAATTGAACTTTCCTCTTGACAGAGCAGCTCTGAAACCCTCTTATTCTAGAATCTGCAAGTGGACATTTGGAGGGCTTTGAGGCCTGTGGTGGAAAAGGAAAATCTTCACATAAAAACTAGATGGAAGCATTCTCACAAACTACTTTGTGATGATTGCATTCGACTCACAGAGTTGAACATTCCTATAGATAGAGCAGGTTGTAAACAATCTTTTTGTAGAATCTGCGATTGGAGATTTGGACTGCTTTGAGGCCTACTGTAGTAAAGGAAATAACTTCATCTAAAAACCAAACGGAAGCATTCACAGACAATTCTTAGTGATCATTGGATTGAACTAACAGAGCTGAACATTCCTTTAGATGGAGCAGTTTCCAAACCCACTTTCTGTAGAATCTGCAAGTGGATATTTGGACTTCTCTGAGGATTTCGTTGGAAACGGGATAAACTTCCCAGAACTACACGGAAGCATTGTGAGAAACTTCTTTGTGATGTTTGCATTCAACTCACAGAGTTGAACCTTGCTTTCATAGTTCAGCTTTCAAACACTCTTTTTGTAGAATCTGCAAGTGGATATTTGGACCACTTTGTGGCCTTCCTTTGAAAAGGGTATATCTTCACATCAAACCTAGACAGAAGCATTCTCAGAATGTTTCCTGTGATGACTGCATTCAACTCACAGAGGTGAACAATCCTGCTGATGGAGCAGTTTTGAAACTCTCTTTCTTTGGATTCTGCAAGTGGATATGTGGACCTCTGTGAGGATTTCGTTGGAAACGGGTTCATCTTCACAGAAAAACTAAACAGAAGCATTCTCAGAAACTGCTTTGTGATGTTTGTGTTCCACTTCAGGAATTCAACTTTCCTCTTGAAAGAGCAGCTCTGAAACCCTCTTATTCTAGAATCTGCAAGTGGACATTTGGAGGGCTTTGAGGCCTGTGGTGGAAAAGGAAAATCTTCACATAAAAACTAGATGGAAGCATTCTCAGAAACTACTTTGTGATGATTGCATTCGACTCACAGAGTTGAACATTCCTATAGATAGAGCAGGTTGTAAACAATCTTTTTGTAGAATCTGCGATTGGAGATTTGGACTGCTTTGAGGCCTACTGTAGTAAAGGAAATAACTTCATCTAAAAACCAAACGGAAGCATTCACAGACAATTCTTAGTGATCATTGGATTGAACTAACAGAGCTGAACATTCCTTTAGATGGAACAGTTTCCAAACACACTTTCTGTAGAATCTGCAAGTGGATATTTGGACTTCTCTGAGGATTTCGATGGAAACGGGATAAACTTCCCAGAACTACACGGAAGCATTCTGAGAAACTTCTTTGTGATGTTTGCATTCAACTCACAGAGTTGAACCTTGCTTTCATAGTTCAGCTTTCAAACACTCTTTTTGTAGAATCTGCAAGTGGATATTTGGACCACTTTGTGGCCTTCCTTCGAAACGGGTATATCTTCACATCAAACCTAGACCGAAGCATTCTCAGAATGTTTCCTGTGATGACTGCATTCAACTCACAGAGGTGAACAATCCTGCTGATGGAGCAGTTTTGAAACTCTCTTTCTTTGGATTCTACAAGTGGATATGTGGACCTCTGTGAAGATTTCGTTGGAAACGGGTTCATCTTCACAGAAAAACTAAACAGAAGCATTCTCAGAAACTGCTTTGTGATGTTTGTGTTCCACTTCAGGAATTGAACTTTCCTCTTGACAGAGCAGCTCTGAAACCCTCTTATTCTAGAATCTGCAAGTGGACATTTGCAGGGCTTTGAGGCCTGTGGTGGAAAAGGAAAATCTTCACATAAAAACAAGATGGAAGCATTCTCAGAAACTACTTTGTGATGATGGCTTTCGACTCACAGAGTTGAACATTCCTATAGATAGAGCAGGTTGTAAACAATCTTTTTGTAGAATCTGCGATTGGAGATTTGGACTGCTTTGAGGCCTACTGTAGTAAAGGAAATAACTTCATCTAAAAACCAAACGGAAGCATTCACAGACAATTCTTAGTGATCATTGGATTGAACTAACAGAGCTGAACATTCCTTTAGATGGAGCAGTTTCCAAACACACTTTCTGTAGAATCTGCAAGTGGATATTTGGACTTCTCTGAGGATTTCGTTGGAAACGGGATAAACTTCCCAGAACTACACGGAAGCATTCTGAGAAACTTCTTTGGATGTTTGCATTCAACTCACAGAGTTGAACCTTGCTTTCATAGTTCAGCTTTCAAACACTCTTTTTGTAGAATCTGCAAGTGGATACTTGGACCACTTTGTGGCCTTCCTTCGAAACGGGTATATCTTCACATCAAACCTAGACAGAAGCATTCTCAGAATGTTTCCTGTGATGACTGCATTCAACTCACAGAGGTGAACAATCCTGCTGATGGAGCAGTTTTGAAACTCTCTTTCTTTGGATTCTGCAAGTGGATATGTGGACCTCTGTGAAGATTTCGTTGGAAACGGGTTCATCTTCACAGAAAAACTAAACAGGAGCATTCTCAGAAACTGCTTTGTGATGTTTGTGTTCCACATCAAGAATTGAACTTTCCCCTTGACAGAGCAGCTCTGAAACCCTCTTTTTCTAGAATCTGCAAGTGGACATTTGGAGGGCTTTGAGGCCTGTGGTGCAAAAGGAAAATCTTCACATAAAAACTAGATGGAAGCATTCTCAGAAACTACTTTGTGATGATTGCATTCGACTCACAGAGTTGAACATTCCTATAGATAGAGCAGGTTGTAAACAATGTTTTTGTAGAATCTGCGATTAAAGATTTGGACTGCTTTGAGGCCTACTGTAGTAAAGGAAATAACTTCATCTAAAAACCAAACGGAAGCATTCACAGACAATTCTTAGTGATCATTGCATTGATCTAACAGAGCTGAACATTCCTTTAGATGGCGTAGTTTCCAAACACACTTTCTGTAGAATCTGCAAGTGGATATTTGGACCTCTCTGAGGATTTCGTTGGAAACGGGATAAACTTCCCAGAACTACACGGAAGCATTCTGAGAAACTTCTTTGTGATGTTTGCATTCAACTCACAGAGTTGAACCTTGCTTTCATAGTTCAGCTTTCAAACACTCTTTTTGTAGAATCTGCAAGTGGATATTTGGACCACTTTGTGGCCTTCCTTCGAAAAGGGTATATCTTCACATCAAACCTAGACAGAAGCATTCTCAGAATGTTTCCTGTGATGACTGCATTCAACTCACAGAGGTGAACAATCCTGTTGATGGAGCAGTTTTGAAACTCTCTTTCTTTGGATTCTGCAAGTTGATATGTGGACCTCTGTGAAGATTTCGTTGGAAACGGGTTCATCTTCACAGAAAAACTAAACAGAAGCATTCTCAGAAACTGCTTTGTGATGTTTGTGTTCCACTTCAAGAATTGAACTTTCCTCTTGACAGAGCAGCTCTGAAACCCTCTTTTTCTAGAATCTGCAAGTGGACATTTGGAGGGCTTTGAGGCCTGTGGTGGAAAAGGAAAATCTTCACATAAAAACTAGATGGAAGCATTCTCAGAAACTACTTTGTGATGATTGCATTCGACTCACAGAGTTGAACATTCCTATAGATAGAGCAGGTTGTAAACAATCTTTTTGTAGAATCTGCGATTGGAGATTTGGACTGCTTTGAGGCCTACTGTAGTAAAGGAAATAACTTCATCTAAAAACCAAACGGAAGCATTCACAGACAATTCTTAGTGATCATTGGATTGAACTAACAGAGCTGAACATTCCCTTAGATGGCGCAGTTTCCAAACACACTTTCTGTAGAATCTGCAAGTGGATATTTGGACCTCTCTGAGGATTTCGTTGGAAACGGGATAAACTTCCCAGAACTACACGGAAGCATTCTGAGAAACTTCTTTGTGATGTTTGCATTCAACTCACAGAGTTGAACCTTGCTTTCATAGTTCAGCTTTCAAACACTCTTTTTGTAGAATCTGCAAGTGGATATTTGGACCACTTTGTGGCCTTCCTTCGAAACGGGTATATCTTCACATCAAACCTAGACAGAAGCATTCTCAGAATGTTTCCTGTGATGACTGCATTCAACTCACAGAGGTGAAGAATCCTGTTGATGGAGCACTTTTGAAACTCTCTTTCTTTGGATTCTGCAAGTTGATATGTGGACCTCTATGAAGATTTCGTTGGAAACGTGTGCATCTTCACAGAAAAACTAAACAGAAGCATTCTCAGAAACTACTTTGTGATGTTTGTGTTCCACTTCTAGAATTGAACTTTCCTCTTGACAGAGCAGCTCTGAAACCCTCTTTTTCTAGAATCTGCAAGTGGACATTTGGAGGGCTTTGAGGCCTGTGGTGGAAAAGGAAAATCTTCACATAAAAACTAGATGGAAGCATTCTCAGAAACTACTTTGTGATGATTGCATTCGACTCACAGAGTTGAACATTCCTATAGATAGAGCAGGTTGTAAACAATCTTTTTGTAGAATCTGCGATTGGAGATTTGGACTGCTTTGAGGCCTACTGTAGTAAAGGAAATAACTTCATCTAAAAACCAAACGGAAGCATTCACAGACAATTCTTAGTGATCATTGCATTGAACTAACAGAGCTGAACATTCCTTTAGATGGAGCACTTTCCAAACACACTTTCTGTAGAATCTGCAAGTGGATATTTGGACCTCTCTGAGGATTTCGTTGGAAACGGGATAAACTTCCCAGAACTACACGGAAGCATTGTGAGAAACTTCTTTGTGATGTTTGCATTCAACTCACAGAGTTGAACCTTGCTTTCATAGTTCAGCTTTCAAACACTCTTTTTGTAGAATCTGCAAGTGGATATTTGGACCACTTTGTGGCCTTCCTTCGAAACGGGTATATCTTCACATCAAACCTAGACAGAAGCATTCTCAGAATGTTTCCTGTGATGACTGCATTCAACTCACAGAGGTGAACAATCCTGCTGATGGAGCAGTTTTGAAACTCTCTTTCTTTGGATTCTGCAAGTGGATATGTGGACCTCTGTGAAGATTTCGTTGGAAACGTGTTCATCTTCACAGAAAAACTAAACAGGAGCATTCTCAGAAACTGCTTTGTGATGTTTGTGTTCCACTTCAAGAATTGAACTTTCCTCTTGACAGAGCAGCTCTGAAACCCTCTTTTTCTAGAATCTGCAAGTGGACATTTGGAGGGCTTTGAGGCCTGTGGTGGAAAAGGAAAATCTTCCCATAAAAACTAGATGGAAGCATTCTCAGAAACTACTTTGTGATGATTGCATTCGACTCACAGAGTTGAACATTCCTATAGATAGAGCAGGTTGTAAACAATCTTTTTGTAGAATCTGCGATTGGAGATTTGGACTGCTTTGAGGCCTACTGTAGTAAAGGAAATAACTTCATCTAAAAACCAAACGGAAGCATTCACAGACAATTCTTAGTGATCATTGGATTGAACTAACAGAGCTTAACATTCCTTTAGATGGAGCAGTTTCCAAACACACTTTCTGTAGAATCTGCAAGTGGATATTTGGACTTCTCTGAGGATTTCTTTGGAAACGGGATAAAATTCCCAGAACTACAGGGAAGCATTCTGAGAAACTTCTTTGTGATGTTTGCATTCAACTCACAGAGTTGAACCTTGCTTTCATAGTTCAGCTTTCAAACACTCTTTTTGTAGAATCTGCAAGTGGATATTTGGACCACTTTGTGGCCTTCCTTCGAAACGGGTATATCTTCACATCAAACCTAGACAGAAGCATTCTCAGAATGTTTCCTGTGATGACTGCATTCAACTCACAGAGGTGAACAATCCTGTTGATGGAGCAGTTTTGAAACTCTCTTTCTTTGGATTCTGCAAGTTGATATGTGGACCTCTGTGAAGATTTCGTTGGAAACGGGTTCATCTTCACAGAAAAACTAAACAGAAGCATTCTCAGAAACTGCTTTGTGATGTTTGTGTTCCACTTCAGGAATTGAACTTTCCTCTTGACAGAGCAGCTCTGAAACCCTCTTATTCTAGAATCTGCAAGTGGACATTTGGAGGGCTTTGAGGCCTGTGGTGGAAAAGGAAAATCTTCACATAAAAACTAGATGGAAGCATTCTCAGAAACTACTTTGTGAGAATTGCATTCGACTCACAGAGTTGAACATTCCTATAGATAGAGCAGGTTGTAAACAATCTTTTTGTAGAATCTGCGATTGGAGATTTGGACTGCTTTGAGGCCTACTGTAGTAAAGGAAATAACTTCATCTAAAAACCAAACGGAAGCATTCACAGACAATTCTTAGTGATCATTGGATTGAACTAACAGAGCTGAACATTCCTTTAGATGGAGCAGTTTCCAAACACACTTTCTGTAGAATCTGCAAGTGGATATTTGGACCTCTCTGAGGATTTCGTTGGAAACGGGATAAACTTCCCAGAACTACACGGAAGCATTCTGAGAAACTTCTTTGTGATGTTTGCATTCAACTCACAGAGTTGAACCTTGCTTTCATAGTTCAGCTTTCAAACACTCTTTTTGTAGGATCTGCAAGTGGATATTTGACAACTTTGTGGCCTTCCTTCGAAACGGGTATATCTTCACATCAAACCTAGACAGAAGCATTCTCAGAATGTTTCCTGTGATGACTGCATTCAACTCACAGAGGTGAACAATCCTGCTGATGGAGCAGTTTTGAAACTCTCTTTCTTTGGATTCTGCAAGTGGATATGTGGACCTCTGTGAAGATTTCGTTGGAAACGGGTTCATCTTCACAGAAAAACTAAAAAGGAGCATTTTCAGAAACTGCTTTGTGATGTTTGTGTTCCACTTCAAGAATTGAACTTTCCTCTTGACAGAGCAGCTCTGAAACCCTCTTTTTCTAGATTCTGCAAGTGGACATTTGGAGGGCTTTGAGGCCTGTGGTGGAAAAGGAAAATCTTCACATAAAAATTAGATGGAAGCATTCTCAGAAACTACTTTGTGATGATTGCATTCGACTCACAGAGTTCAACATTCCTATAGATAGAGCAGGTTGTAAACAATCTTTTTGTAGAATCTGCGATTGGAGATTTGGACTGCTTTGAGGCCTACTGTAGTAAATTAAATAACTTCATCTAAAAACCAAACGGAAGCATTCACAGACAATTCTTAGTGATCATTGCATTGAACTAACAGAGCTGAACATTCCTTTAGATGGCGCAGTTTCCAAACACACTTTCTGTAGAATCTGCAAGTGGATATTTGGACCTCTCTGAGGATTTCGTTGGAAACGGGATAAACTTCCCAGAACTACACGGAAGCATGCTGAGAAACTTCTTTTTGATGTTTGCATTCAACTCACAGAGTTGAACCTTGCTTTCATAGTTCAGCTTTCAAACACTCTTTTTGTAGAATCTGCAAGTGGATATTTGGACCACTTTGTGGCCTTCCTTCGAAACGGGTATATCTTCACATCAAACCTAGACAGAAGCATTCTCAGAATGTTTCCTGTGATGACTGCATTCAACTCACAGAGGTGAACAATCCTGCTGATGGAGCAGTTTTGAAACTCTCTTTCTTTGGATTCTGCAAGTGGATATGTGGACCTCTGTGAAGATTTCGTTGGAAACGGGTTCATCTTCACAGAAAAACTAAACAGAAGCATTCTCAGAAACTGCTTTGTGATGTTTGTGTTCCACTTCAGGAATTGAACTTTCCTCTTGACAGAGCAGCTCTGAAACCCTCTTATTCTAGAATCTGCAAGTGGACATTTGGAGGGCTTTGAGGCCTGTGGTGGAATAGGAAAATCTTCACATAAAAACTAGATGGAAGCATTCTCAGAAACTACTTTGTGATGATTACATTCGGCTCACAGAGTTGAACATTCCTATAGATAGAGCAGGTTGTAAACAATCTTTTTGTAGAATCTGCGATTGGAGATTTGGACTGCTTTGAGGCCTACTGTAGTAAAGGAAATAACTTCATCTAAAAATCAAACGGAAGCATTCACAGACAATTCTTAGTGATCATTGCATTGAACTAACAGAGCTGAACATTGCTTTAGATGGCGCAGTTTCCAAACACACTTTCTGTAGAATCTGCAAGTGGATATTTGGACCTCTCTGAGGATTTCGTTGGAAACGGGATAAACTTCCCAGAACTACACGGAAGCATGCTGAGAAACTTCTTTGTGATGTTTGCATTCAACTCACAGAGTTGAACCTTGCTTTCATAGTTCAGCTTTCAAACACTCTTTTTGTAGAATCTGCAAGTGGATATTTGGACCACTTTGTGGCCTTCCTTCGAATCGGGTATATCTTCACATCAAACCTAGACAGAAGCATTCTCAGAATGTTTCCTGTGATGACTGCATTCAACTCACAGAGGTGAACAATCCTGCTGATGGAGCAGTTTTGAAACTCTCTTTCTTTGGATTCTGCAAGTTGATATGTGGACCTCTGTGAAGATTTCGTTGGAAACGGGTTCATCTTCACAGAAAAACTAAACAGGAGCATTCTCAGAAACTGCTTTGTGATGTTTGTGTTCCACTTCAAGAATTGAACTTTCCTCTTGACAGAGCAGCTCTGAAACCCTCTTTTTCTAGAGTCTGCAAGTGGACATTTGGAGGGCTTTGAGGCCTGTGGTGGAAAAGGAAAATCTTCCCATAAAAACTAGATGGAAGCATTCTCAGAAACTACTTTGTGATGATTGCATTCGACTCACAGAGTTGAACATTCCTATAGATAGAGCAGGTTGTAAACAATCTTTTTGTAGAATCTGCGATTGGAGATTTGGACTGCTTTGAGGCCTACTGTAGTAAAGGAAATAACTTCATCTGAAAACCAAACGGAAGCATTCACAGACAATTCTTAGTGATCATTGCATTGAACTAACAGAGCTGAACATTGCTTTAGACGGCGCAGTTTCCAAACACACTTTCTGTAGAATCTGCAAGTGGATATTTGGACTTCTCTGAGGATTTCGTTGGAAACGGGATAAACTTCCCAGAACTACACGGAAGCATGCTGAGAAACTTCTTTGTGATGTTTGCATTCAACTCACAGAGTTGAACCTTGCTTTCATAGTTCAGCTTTCAAATACTCTTTTTGTAGAATCTGCAAGTGGATATTTGGACCACTTTGTGGCCTTCCTTCGAAACGGGTATATCTTCACATCAAACCTAGACAGAAGCATTCTCAGAATGTTTCCTGTGATGACTGCATTCAACTCACAGAGGTGAACAATCCTGTTGATGGAGCACTTTTGAAACTCTCTTTCTTTGGATTCTGCAAGTTGATATGTGGACCTCTGTGAAGATTTCGTTGGAAACGGGTTCATCTTCACAGAAAAACTAAACAGAAGCATTCTCAGAAACTACTTTGTGATGTTTGTGTTCCACTTCAAGAATTGAACTTTCCTCTTGACAGAGCAGCTCTGAAACCCTCTTTTTCTAGAATCTGCAAGTGGACATTTGGAGGGCTTTGAGGCCTGTGGTGGAAAAGGAAAATCTTCACATAAAAACTAGATGGAAGCATTCTCAGAAACTACTTTGTGATGATTGCATTCGACTCACAGAGTTGAACATTCCTATAGATAGAGCAGGTTGTAAACAATGTTTTTGTAGAATCTGCGATTGGAGATTTGGACTGCTTTGAGGCCTACTGTAGTAAAGGAAATAACTTCATCTAAAAACCAAACGGAAGCATTCACAGACAATTCTTAGTGATCATTGGATTGAACTAACAGAGCTGAACATTCCTTTAGATGGAGCAGTTTCCAAACACACTTTCTGTAGAATCTGCAAGTGGATATTTGGACTTCTCTGAGGATTTCGTTGGAAACGGGATAAACTTCCCAGAACTACACGGAAGCATTGTGAGAAACTTCTTTGTGATGTTTGCATTCAACTCACAGAGTTGAACCTTGCTTTCATAGTTCAGCTTTCAAACACTCTTTTTGTAGAATCTGCAAGTGGATATTTGGACCACTTTGTGGCCTTCCTTCGAAACGGGTATATCTTCACATCAAACCTAGACAGAAGCATTCTCAGAATGTTTCCTGTGATGACTGCATTCAACTCACAGAGGTGAACAATCCTGTTGATGAAGCACTTTTGAAACTCTCTTTCTTTGGATTCTGCAAGTTGATATGTGGACCTCTGTGAAGATTTCGTTGGAAACGGGTTCATCTTCACAGAAAAACTAAACAGAAACATTCTCAGAAACTGCTTTGTGATGTTTGTGTTCCACTTCAAGAATTGAACTTTCCTCTTGACAGAGCAGCTCTGAAACCCTCTTTTTCTAGAATCTGCAAGTGGACATTTGGAGGGCTTTGAGGCCTGTGGTGGAAAAGGAAAATCTTCACATAAAAACTAGATGGAAGCATTCTCAGAAACTACTTTGTGATGATGGCTTTCGACTCACAGAGTTGAACATTCCTATAGATAGAGCAGGTTGTAAACAATCTTTTTGTAGAATCTGCGATTGGAGATTTGGACTGCTTTGAGGCCTACTGTAGTAAAGGAAATAACTTCATCTAAAAACCAAACGGAAGCATTCACAGACAATTCTTAGTGATCATTGCATTGATCTAACAGAGCTGAACATTCCTTTAGATGGCGTAGTTTCCAAACACACTTTCTGTAGAATCTGCAAGTGGATATTTGGACCTCTCTGAGGATTTCGTTGGAAAAGGGATAAACTTCCCAGAACTACACGGAAGCATTCTGAGAAACTTCTTTGTGATGTTTGCATTCAACTCACAGAGTTGAACCTTGCTTTCATAGTTCAGCTTTCAAACACTCTTTTTGTGGAATCTGCAAGTGGATATATGGACCACTTTGTGGCCTTCCTTTGAAACGGGTACATCTTCACATCAAACCTAGACAGAAGCATTCTCAGAATGTTTCCTGTGATGACTGCATTCAACTCACAGAGGTGAACAATCCTGTTGATGGAGCAGTTTTGAAACTCTCTTTCTTTGGATTCTGCAAGTTGATATGTGGACCTCTGTGAAGATTTCGTTGGAAACGGGTTCATCTTCACAGAAAAACTAAACAGAAGCATTCTCAGAAACTGCTTTGTGATGTTTGTGTTCCACTTCAAGAATTGAACTTTCCTCTTGACAGAGCAGCTCTGAAACCCTCTTTTTCTAGAATCTGCAAGTGGACATTTGGAGGGCTTTGAGGCCTGTGGTGGAAAAGGAAAATCTTCACATAAAAACTAGATGGAAGCATTCTCAGAAACTACTTTGTGATGATTGCATTCGACACACAGTTGAACATTCCTATAGATAGAGCAGGTTGTAAACAATCTTTTTGTAGAATCTGCGATTGGAGATTTGGACTGCTTTGAGGCCTACTGTAGTAAAGGAAATATCTTCATCTAAAAACCAAACTGAAGCATTCACAGACAATTCTTAGTGATCATTGGATTGAACTAACAGAGCTGAACATTCCTTTAGATGGAGCAGTTTCCAAACACACTTTCTGTAGAATCTGCAAGTGGATATTTGGACCTCTCTGAGGATTTCGTTGGAAACGGGATAAACTTCCCAGAACTACACGGAAGCATTCTGAGAAACTTCTTTGTGATGTTTGCATTCAACTCACAGAGTTGAACCTTGCTTTCATAGTTCAGCTTTCAAACACTCTTTTTGTAGAATCTGCAAGTGGATATTTGGACCACTTTGTGGCCTTCCTTCGAAAGGGGTATATCTTCACATCAAACCTAGACAGAAGCATTCTCAGAATGTTTCCTGTGATGACTGCATTCAACTCACAGAGGTGAACAATCCTGCTGATGGAGCAGTTTTGAAACTCTCTTTCTTTGGATTCTGCAAGTGGATATGTGGACCTCTGTGAAGATTTCGTTGGAAACGGGTTCATCTTCACAGAAAAACTAAACAGGAGCATTCTCAGAAACTGCTTTGTGATGTTTGTGTTCCACTTCAGGAATTGAACTTTCCTCTTGACAGAGCAGCTCTGAAACCCTCTTTTTCTAGAATCTGCAAGTGGACATTTGGAGGGCTGTGAGGCCTGTGGTGGAAAAGGAAAATCTTCACATAAAAACTAGATGGAAGCATTCTCAGAAACTACTTTGTGATGATTGCATTCGACTCACAAAGTTGAACATTCCTATAGATAGAGCAGGTTGTAAACAATCTTTTTGTAGAATCTACGATTGGAGATTTGGACTGCTTTGAGGCCTACTGTAGAAAAGGAAATAACTTCATCTAAAAACCAAACGGAAGCATTCACAGACAATTCTTAGTTATCATTGGATTGAACTAACAGAGCTGAACATTCCTTTAGATGGCGCAGTTTCCAAACACACTTTCTGTAGAATCTGCAAGTGGATATTTGGACCTCTCTGAGGATTTCGTTGGAAACGGGATAAATTTCCCAGAACTACACGGAAGCATTCTGAGAAACTTCTTTGTGATGTTTGCATTCAACTCACAGAGTTGAACCTTGCTTTCATAGTTTAGCTTTCAAACACACTTTTTGTAGAATCTGCAAGTGGATATTTGGACCACTTTGTGGCCTTCCTTCGAAACGGGTATATCTTCACATCAAACCTAGACAGAAGCATTCTCAGAATGTTTCCTGTGATGACTGCATTCAACTCACAGATGTGAACAATCCTGTTGATGGAGCAGTTTTGAAACTCTCTTTCTTTGGATTCTGCAAGTGGATATGTGGACCTCTGTGAAGATTTCGTTGGAAACGGGTTCATCTTCACAGAAAAACTAAACAGG